>NT_167249.2:1839594-1984263 GCF_000001405.40 Homo sapiens
GGCCAGGCTGGTCTCCAACTCCTGGCCTCAGGTGATCCGCCTACCTCGGCCTCCCAAAGTACTGGGATTACAGGTATGAGCCACCATGCCCAGCCGATGTCTCCAACTTTCAAATGGTTCAGGGCTGGGTGCAGTGCAATCCCAGCACTTTGGGAGGCCGAAGGAGGCGGATCACCTGAGGTCAGGAGTTTGAGGCCACCTTGGCCAACGTGGTGTAATCTCGTCTCCACTAAAAATACAAAAATTAGCCAGGCATGGTGGTGCACACCTGTAGTCCCAGCTAATGGGGAGGCTGAGGCAAGAGAATCACTTGAACCCGGGAGGCAGAGGTTGCAGTGAACCAAGATTGCACCACTGCACTCCAACCTGGGTGACAGAGCAAAACTCCATCTCAAAAAGAAAAAAAAAAGTTCAAATGGTTGAGAAAAGACAACACTTGTATACTGTTGGTAGGAATGTAAATTAGTACAGCTATTATGGAAAACTGTATGGCGGTTCCTCAAAAAACTAAAAATAGAATTACCATATGGGGCTGGGCACAGTGGCTCACACCTCTAATCCCATCATTTTGGGAGGCCGAGGTGAGCGGATCACCTGAAGTCGGGAGCTCGAGACCAGCCTGGCCAATATGGTGAAACCCCATTTCTACTAAAAATACAAAAATTAGTTGGGCGTGGTGGTGGGCGCCTGTAATCCCAGCTACTTGAGAGGCTGAGGCAGGAGAACCGCTTGAACCCGGGAGGCGGAGGTTGCAGTGAGCTGAGACCGTGCCATCGCACTCCAGCCTGGGCAACAAGAGTGAAACTCCATCTCAAAAAAAAAAAAAAGAATTACCATATGATCCAGCAATCTTGCGTCTGGGTATTTACTAAAGAGATTTGAAATCAGTATGTCGAGGAGATACCTGCACTCTCATGTTCGCTGCAGCACTATTAACCACAGTGAAGTTACATAGTCAAACCGAGTGTTCATCAGCAGATGAATGGATAAAGAAAATATGGTATATAGGCCGGGCGCAGTGGCTCAAGCCTGTAATCCCAGCACTTTGGGAGGTCGAGGCAGGCGGATCACGAGGTCAGGATATCGAGAGCATCCTGGCTAACACGGTGAAACCCCATCTCTACTAAAAGTACAAAAGAATTAGCTGGGCGTGGTGGCAGGCGCCTGTAGTCCCAGCTACTCTGGAGGCTGAGGCAGGAGAATCACTTCAACCTGGGAGGCGGAGTTTGCAGTGAGCTGAGATTGCACCAGTGCACTCCAACCTGGGTGACAGAGCAAGACTCCGTCTCAAAAAAAAAAAAAAAAAAGAAAGAAAGAAAGAAAATATGGTATATATACCGTGGAATGCTATTCAGCCTTTAAAAAGAAATTTTGTCATTTGAGACAGCGTTAATGGAATTGGAGAACATTATGCTGAGTGAAGTAAGCCAGGCACAGAAAGACAAATACTGTATGTTCTCACTTATAAGTGGAATCTAAAACAATCGAACTTAAAGGAGGAGAGAGCAGAATAGTAGTTACCAGAGGCTGGGGGTCTGGGGTAAATGGGGATATGATGGTTAAAGGTTACAAAGCTTCATTGGACTGGAAAAATAAGCTTTTCTTTTTCTTTGAGATATACTGCACAGCAAAGTGAATATAGTAAATAATTCTTGGACATTTCATAAGTGTTGAGGGTAAATATCTTTTTTACATTTTTAACATATTCCCTCCTCTGAATGTAGAGAGTAAATTTCAAACATTCTCACCACAAAAAAAGTAAGTATTTAAAAGTGATAGATGTTGGGCCGGGTGCAGTGGCTCACGTCTGTAATCCCAGCACTTTGGGAGGTGGAGGTGGGTGGATCACCTGAGGTCAGGAGTTGGAGACCAGCCTGGCCAACATGGTGAAACCCCGTCTCTACTAAAAATACAAAAAATTAGCCGGGCATGGTGGCGGACGCCTGTAATGCCAGCTACTCGGGAGGCTGAGGCAGAAGAATCACTTGAACCCGGGAGGCGGAAGTTGCAGTGAGCCGAGATTGCACCACTGCACTCCAGCCTGGGCAACAAGAGTGAAACTCCATCTCAAAAAAAAAAAAAGTGATAGATGTTAATTTGCTTGATTTAATCATCCCACAGTGTATTCATGAATCATAACATCACTTTGTACGCCATAAATATATACAACTATAATTTGCCAATTTACAATTAAAGGTTAAAATTTTTAAAAATAAAAGGTAATGACAACAAAAAAAATGGATAAGTAGACAGAAAAATCGATTAATACAGAAGCTGGCAAAAACTAGTAAAGCAAATATGGCAAAATGTAGAATTTGTTGAATCTTTCAGTATTTGGGTGTTTATTGTTCTTTTTCTATGTTAGAAATTTTTCAAAATAAAAAGTTGCAAATGATTTCCATATTATTCTGATTTTTACACAGTAACAGAAAACATTCCTGGCTGCAGCTCATTAATATTTCTTCTTTGTTCTCCTGAGGAATCAAAAGATTCTCATTTATGATATGTCAAAAGGCACATAAAGAAACATATCCAAACTTTGTTGTCTCTTCATTCAAGTTTGGCTTTAATATTTTATTAAAAATTTTTGTATTTGTAAATATTAAAACACTGAAACTTGCTACTGACACAAGAACGACAATGCACTAACAATAAAATCAAAGTAGAAGCTAAACTATTCAGAAGCAGTAGCAACTCCATGATTCCAAGGTAATTTAAACAGGCAATTTCAGAGTGCTTCAAGATGAAGGCGCAAAGCAGCCTCTCAGCCTGCAGTGATGCTACGACACCGGCAGATGGCGCTGCAAAGCTTCTCAAATGCAGCGGGAAGTCCATTTACCAACGGCTGTTGCGATCTCTTAATTAGCTTGAACTGAGTTTGTATTAGAATTTATAATTTTTACTGCATATTGCAGTTACTCGTATATTACTGACACTGGAACAGACATGTTTTAACAAACTGGTTGAGCCGTATCAGTGCGAACCAGCTGAATGTCAGCGCTGTTCCCTCCTGTGACAGAAGCCACCGGCGCCTGCCTGAGGGCACTCCCCTCACTGGGACTCTCAGTACCACGCCCACCTGTCCCCAAGGTTTGTTTCATCACTAAGCCCCACCTTCCAGCATTTTCACCTTTCTCCTTCACTTGATCCTTCTTCCTAACATCGTGTTAACACACTCCAAACTAAAAAAGTTCCTCAACTGCATATACTCTGCTCCCTCCATTTTTTTCTTTCATTGCAATCACTGCCAAACATTTTGAAAATTCTCTCCTCACCTCCACTGCCTTTACGCTTTTCCTCCAAATTATTCCTTAACCCTCTGACATCTGGGGCTTCTGATTCCACCTCTCCAAAGAAATGCTCCCACCAAGACCATGGAGGCCCCTCTCGTTGCTGGTGGATACTCGTTCATTTTCCCCGCCACCACCCATCAGCAGCGTTCCACGCCGCCCTTCCTTCCTTCCTTCCTCCCCTAGCTTCATCACACCACGTTACTAGGTTTTTCCTGTCTCACTGGCTCCTTTCCCTGCTCTCCTTTTTATATGTTTCCTGCTTTCTTCCTCAGCCTTCTCTGCTCCCCACACCTATATGTTGATGATGCCCAAATCTCTGTCTCCAGCCACGACCTCTCTTTCCCCAAGCTCCATTTGCATAAACTGTCTCTGATGAGATTTAGGGCGCTTACGGTGGTATGGCTGTAGACAACTGTCTCAGGAAACAGACCCATGACCCACCCAGTTGCCAAGTCAGAAACAGGATGTATACTCTTGACTTGTCTCTCTCCCCTACACAGCAAAACAATCCCAAGACATGTCAATTCTATCTCCTGAGCAACCCATAAAACGATTTCTCTTCTTTCCATCTTCCATTACCCTAATTCTGGTGTTCATTCTCTCTCCCTGGGATGGCTGTAAAAGCCTCTGATTTCTCCCCTTTCCAAACCAGTCTCCACACTGCAACCATAGTGATCTAAGGCACAATTCTCACCTTTTCAGTCTTAGGCTTAAAGTTCAACATCCCTCTGGATACAGTCTAAATCTTTAACACGGCTGAAAAGGCCCAGCAAGAGCTGGACCAAGCCCACCTCTCCAGCTTCACCTTTCCTCATTTCTCCTTTGCACCCTCTGCCTCTGAACAAGTTACAGTCTTCCAAAGTTGTCATGTTTCTTGACCTTTGCTGTCTCCTCTGCCCAGAATGCAATTTCCCTGTCTGGCTAACTCCTGTCCAGCATTTGGCCTCAGCATGGACATCTGTTCCTCTAGGACGCTTCCCCTGATTCACCAAGACCAGCTTAACTGCCCCTACTGGCTGTTCCTATAGCAATTCTTTACCACAGACTACTGATTTTTTGTGTTTGTTTTGTTTTGGCAGTCTGACATAACTTTATACTAATGCAGCTTCTAGCCCTGTCCCCCACTCCTTCCTGATCAGTATCCCAATGTCCCTCCTATATGGAGCCACCACTACCCCACAGGATCCTGTACCACCCTTCTCCCAGAACTTATCACACTTTTTTTTTGTAATTGTGTTTCCATTCTCCAATAAATTGTGAGCGCCACAAAGAACCATTTCTATCTCACTTACCACTTGGAAGTGACTGGCAGGTAGTAATTGCTCAACAAATGTTCTATGAGTGAATGAATCCTTGGGATAATTATAGTACTAACCATCTTATTTAGTTATGACAGTTCAATAGAAACACGTAAAATAATGCTTTTATAGTTTACATACTGCTATAGAGCTATTGTATTATATTATTATTATTCTATTCCTACCCTCTATTGCTTGAGAGTAGGATATTGCCTTATTCAATTTTGGTTATTGTCCCAGAACTCAGGGATATATGTCTGGCATATATTGTTTTTAACCAATTTTTGTTGACTGTATCAATGATTGTAAGAAGTGAACAAAGGGCCAGATAATTGAACTATCCTGGACCACACACAGCTACCCTGTTCCAGAAGCAGGACTATAATCCCATCTGGAAAAAGGGAAACTTGGAAGTTGACATCTAAATGAAATTCCAGCATGGATGAGAGAAGCCCTGATTTCTCTCCATCAAGAGACTAGCCAGCTATGGAAGCCACCAGAGCCCCAGACCTCCATGGTCAAGTATTCACATAGTAGACATGACCCAGACAAGAGGGTGCGTATTTCAGCGTGGAGGGGAGACTGGGCCCTTGGTTTCCTGTGTCTTTGTAGTCAGTTCTAACCTCAGCCTCAGGCACTGGTGTTGGGGCCCTATTCATCCTCATCTGCACGTCCCTCAGTTCTTTTCCTGTTGCTATTATCCTATAGAGTCAGCAAGTCATGGAAGAGGTTTTACAGTCTAACCCTGTGGGGGTGTCAGGAGTTGCCTCCTGCCAGGTCTTCAGCATAAAAATCCCCCCTCCTCAGCTCCCAGTCAATTCTTCATCCCCACCCCTAGACTCTCCCAAATACCCCTGATGAAACCCCTGAGGTGGAAAAAGATAAAGACAAGCAAAGATAAACAGCACAGGAAGCAGAGGTACAAATAGAATTCTGATTTTTCTCCTTTCTCTCCACATTTTGAGGAAATGAATCCAATGTCCTCACCCCACCTCCTGCAGCGGAGAAGTCCCCTGAGCATCTCTGAACATCATGAACCCTCAAAGTAAGCTTAGCTTGGGCCCCTTTTCCTTTTCTATCAGTGAGGCCAAAGAGCCCCAGATGGGAGACAGGTGGATTTTTCTCTCAGCTGGGACCTTTTCTCTTTCTTGTCTAGCACATTTTGGGAAACCTTCAAGTACATTCTCATGCTGGTATTATTTAAACTTTGCACTGGAGTGAATTCCAGGAGTTATGTCCACACTGAGACCAATGGAGATGAACCTAAAGCAATATGTGGCCAAACACCTTAGCCTCTTTAAATATACTTTCCTTTGCTCCTTGGTTAACAGGGTCTGTCTGCTCGCATTAGAGAAACTGCCCAGTGACTCAGATCCTGAAAGGATCTGCTTTAGAGAAAAAAGGAGTCTGGTACTTCTCACTCCATCTAGTGGGCAACCTGTCCAACTACACTTTTTGCTATCATCCAATACAGACAACACTGGCAGTCAATAAAAAAGCTCATTCTCCCATTTCTAAAAGAATTCAATCTAGGAGTCTAGCTGCTGGCTTAACAAAGGGATATACAGCAAAGCCTAAGGTGCCCTGACTCACGAGAGAGCTGATTTCTGCCGAAATGCTGAGGTGAAACCCTAAAATGGTTCTGGCCACCTGCTAGGTTCTAGCTCAGACCCTGCACTGGATCATCTTTGTTCCACCCCCAAACCAGAGTAAATGGAATTCAGGAGGCTGGTTCTGTGCCCGCCCCTATGTACCTCAAATACTCGTAGCTGCCAAGCTTTTAAACAATGAAACTTAACACTGTACTTAAAGGGCTGTTCTGCTCAAATCATAAATGTGCACGCTAGTTGTTCACCAGTAATTAAAACTACTCGTACACATTTAATCAACATTTTCACAAGCGTTTTGCCTTAACTAAAAATTTGTATCAACATGAAGTCCTAGAATTATACTGCATGAGCCCCCAGGATTTGGAGAACATCATTCACCCTTCTTAATCCAAAAACTTGGGTGCCTGAAGGTGGGGTTTTGATCATGGCCAGGCTTCAAATTTAGGTCAGGCTCTGGTGGTACATCCTTATATGCTTGGTGCTCAGCACAGGTCAAGACACACAATAGACCCTCAATAAATATTTGCTGAATTTGAACAATTCCTGTAAAAATCTCATTAAGAGACATCAGCTTGGGACACAGTTCCTCTCTTACTGTTCCTTCTCCCAGAAGCTCCTGGAATGAGCAGGTCTGGCGGCAGGGGGCACACAGGGCTGCTGCTCAAATCGGAGAATGGCACAAACTCCAAAAGGGAGCTGGATTTAGACCTCCCCTCCCCATGTAGATAACGGGATTCCTAAGGTGCAGAGTGGGAGAATGGGTAGAGGAAGCAGGTTTCAGAGACTGAGAACCTACTAAACTCCTAAGAGAACTTTCCCTTGCAAAGAGAATGCATGAAAAAAGAAGGGAGAAGAGGAGAGAAGCCTCCCACAGCTGTTAGCCTGGAACAGCCGCTCTCACCTCAGTTCATCTGGGGAAGGGGCTACAAAGCAAACAATCTTTATTCACAATTGGGGTGGCAGAGGGGAGATACCCCCAGGTCAGTCCAAAAGCAAAGATACTGGGAGGGAAGATGGCGCTGGGCGAGGAACTCAGCACTCATCCTCACCCAGCAGGGCATAAGGGTTTCGGCCAGCCAGGCTGGACCCTGGAGCCGAGGTTGGGGTCTCCTCATCCCCTTCTCCCTCCTCATCCGCATCCCGGTCCTCCTCTCCCTCCTCCTCACAGGAGCTGCTCAGCTCTTCCTCTTCCTCCTCCTCCTCGTCACCTGCTGGCCCCACCCTGCCCTGCAAAACCACCAGCTCCGTGGTCTCTGGATGGGACTCCCAGGTGCCTGGGGAACCAAAACAAGAAAAAAATGGAGGAGAGTTTTGAGCAAGAACTAAAGCCAAGGAAAGATGGGGAAGAGGCAAAGACTAGGAATAACAATAATCTTTAGAGCTGCTGGCATTCATTCATTCATCCATTCATTCAACTTCCTATGTGCAGATTGCTGAACAGAACCTTTGTGCACATCAACTTCAATCTTTACAATCACTATGCTAAGGGTCAATTATTACCCTCAGTTTGCAGATCAGGAAAATATCACAGATGTTAAGTAACAGAGCTAGCCAACAGGTACAGAATCCAGGTTTGACCCTCTCTCTGGCCACAAAGCCCACACCCTTTTACCTACGCTATAGCAGGGGGCTGGGGAAGAATATCTGGGCTCTGACCTTTCTGTTCACTGTAGCCTGGGGGATGAAAACACAGGCTGAGGCGGCCGTCCACTGCCAGCCGCAAGAGACTGTTGGCTGCTCTGTACACATCATTCCGAGCCGCCTTGGCTGTCTTGTAACCACGTTTCTCTGCCCAGGCTGGAGGAAGAAAAGAATAATGGAAAGGGAAAGCATTAACCAGGTACCAGTTATACTCCCACTCCCATAACACAGTCCTTCCAGTTTTCCCCAAAACATTCCAGGCCAGAGATCTTACTGGCTATGCAACAAAAATCTAGGGGTGAGTGGACAGCAGCTTCATCAATGGCAGAATCTCTGAGGAGAGGAAAGGAGACAGGGAAGGGTAAAAGGCGAGGCAGGTAAGGAAGAGCAGCTGAAACCAGGTGGGGCGAAGCCAGGCACATGGAACTCACCTTCACAGATGTCCCAGGCACACCAGGGGTGTTCCGCTGAGGGGTCCTCAGCCTCTGGGTGGCGCAGGTGGAGCAGGGCCTGCACGGGAATTCGGGAGGCCAGGTAGCCCACAGCAGTGTAGGGCTCCTGGATCTGGGCGATAGGGTAGATCCCTGCCAGAACCTGAGGGAAATGAGCACTCAGTACTTTCCTCAATGTCCCACCTTCTCTCTTTCCCTTACCCACCCTCCCCGTCATACCTGCAACTGCCTAGGCAGAAGAGATGGGAAGATGAGGCCTGGGCAGTCACAGAGCTTCACAGAGGGGGTAAGAAAGTAGGTCTGAAAGTATCGGGTATGGCCCGGGGTTCTGGAGACACTCACGACTTTCCGCCCCACCAGCCCATTGATCAGCGAGGACTTTCCCACATTAGGGAAACCTGAGGAAGGCAAGGAAAATTAACGTTTAACAGGTTTCTACTCTGTGATGGGACTTGGTGCTATACCTATAGGTAAAAGGGGAACTAAGGCTCAGAAATTAAGGAAATGGTATTGCAGAATACAAATCACGCTCTGGGCTGCCAGGGTTAAATCCTGGCCCTTCCACTTACCAGCTTTGTGATGTCAGGGCAACTAACTTTCTGAGCCTCTGTTTCTTCATTTTACAGTGTGGACACCTCCCTACCTCAGGGTGGTCAGGATTAAATGAGATAACCAATACAACTTGTGTGGGTCAGTGCCTGCAGTACAGTAAGTACCCAGTACCAGTGATCCACATCTCATAATTACTATGACTTGGCCTGGCACAGTGGCTCACGCTTGTAATCCCAGCGTGATTACTTTGGGAGGCCAAGGCGGGTGGATCACCTGAGGTCAGGACTTCAAGACCAGCCTGGCCAACATGGTGAAACCCCATCTCTACTAAAAATACAAAAATTAGCTGGGCGTGGTGGTGGGCGCCTGTAATTGCAGCTACTTGGGAGGCTGAGGCAGGAGAACCACTTGAACCCAGGAGGCGGAGGTTGCAGTGAGCTGAGATTGCACCATTGCACTCCAGCCTGGGCAATAAGAGGGAAACTCCATCTCAAAAAATAATAATAATAATTACGATGACTTGTCCAAGGAGAAAACTGGAAGCCTTGGGGCTCACTGCCACTCTGCTCACTCACCACCACCAGTTTTTGTGTTTCTGGCTGACTTCAGTGCCTTCATCTCCCTTCCACAGAGCATCTCCTTTACCCCACCTCAGCTGCCCACTCCCATGGTAATACCTGCATCTTGTCACTTCACAGCTCCAAAGCCTCAATTCCAAGCACCCCTCTCTGCCCTGACAACTCATCTTTCCAGCTCACTTACTCTGGTTACTCCATGCCAGTAAGTCTTTGACCCCTGACCTTAACACAGTAACACTATGCAATACCCAACTCGTGTCCTCAATTTCCTTCTTACTTGACTCAGATTTCATGATCCAGCTCCTCAGCCAGGGCCGTTCACAGACCTGGAACTCCCTGGTCCCACTTCTCCCCTCTATCTTACTCACCTGGCAAAATCCCAACCCTGTAAAATCCAGCTCTGCCCATTCAGCACTGCTCCTGGGCAGCTGACTGTGGCTAAGAAAAGATGTACCACTGTGCTCACTCTTTACAACACATGCAAGTATCTAGGAGGAAGGGAGGGAAGGAGGGAGAAAAAAGTTCTCCTTTGACGACCACCACCAGACCTAGTTCTCTGTCCGCTTTGCAGGAAAACTCCTTAAAAGACTTACCTACTTTTTTCACCATTTCTTCCTGCTATCTTCTTTGTAACTGTAAACTACAACATACAAAAAAATGCACAGAACATACATGTGCAGCCTGATGAACCCCATACCACCCAATGTGTGACAACATGTTCCATCTGTCCTTGTTTTTTTTTGTTTTTGTTTTTGAGACAGAGTCTCACTCCCTCACCCGGGCTGGAGTGCAGTGGTGCGATGTTGGCTCACTACAACCTCATCCTCCCAGGTTCAAGCGATTCTCGTGCCTCAACCTCCTGAGTAGCTGAGACCACAGGCGTGCGGCTCCACACCTGGCTAACTTTTTGTATTTTTAGTAGAGATAGGGTTTTGCCATGTTGGCCAGGCTGGTCTCAAACTCCTGACCTCAAGTAATGCGCCTGCCTCAGCCTCCCAAAGTGCTAGGATTACAGGGATGAGCCACCATACCGGCCGCCACTCATCCTTCTTGATCATAATCCTCTCCCTCTATACATGCAAGCTTTATCCTTTTAAGGAAATCAACTCCTTACATTTCTCTTTAGTTTATGACCTGTGTATCTCTCAACAATGCAGCTTAATTTTGCAGCTTTCAAACTTGATAGAACTGAAATTGTGCAGTATGGATGCTATTGGGTCAGACTCTTTTCACACAATGTTATGTGAAGTTGTTGCACCTTCTCTCATGGGCCTACTCCAGTTTGGCTTTCTCCACCCCACTGAAACCACGGATCTTCACATTGCCAAGCCTGCTGAGCAGCTCTCTGTTCTCTCATTTGGCCTGTCAGCAACAGTTGACACAGCTGATTCCTCCTTTCCTCTTCAAACACCTTCTTCATTTGACTTCTGGGACGCTCCCTTGGTTTTCCTCCTTCTCACTGTCCTTTGCCCAACTAAATGCTGGCTTGTCCTAAGGCTCAGTCCTTGACCTCCTCTTCTCCAACTATTTCCTTTCTCTCCTACATCTCATCCAATTCCATGGCTTTTTTTTTTTTTTTTTTGACGAAGTCTTGCTCTGTCACCCAGGCTGGAGTGCAGTGGTATGATCTTGGCTCACCGTAACCTCCGCCTCCAGGATTCAAGCAATTCTCCTGCCTCACCCTCCTGAGTATCTGGGACTACAGGCACGCACCACCACACACGGCTAATTTTCTGTATTTTTTGGTAGAGACAGGGTTTCACCATGTTGGCCAGGCTGGTCTCAAACTCCTGGCCTCAAGTGATCCACCTGCCTCAGCCTCCCAAAGGGCTGGGATTATAGGCATGAGCCACTGTGCCCAGCCTAATCCTGTGGCTTTAAATACCACTTATATCCATCAATGGTTCCCCAAATTTAAATCTTTCCCAAATTCAAATTTCCGTCCTCTTCTCTCCCCTAAGCTGCTGACTACTTACCCACTGCCTATTCAACATCTCCACTAGGGATATTTAAAAAGAATCTGAAATTTCATTTCTGATTCCCCTCTCCTCCCCAAAGCCTTCAAATCTGCTTCTCCCCCAGTCTTCCCATCTCAGTATTTCCAGTTGCTCAAGACAAAAACCTGGAAGTCCTTCTTTATCCTCACTTTCCTTCACGTGCCAACTGCAAGCCATCAGCGATCTCATTTTCTCTACCTTCAAAATATATCATGCTTCCGGCCCTGTCTCACCACCTCCAGCTCCAGCATCCTACTCTAAGCAACTCTTATTTCTCTCCTAGATTACTGAAATAGCCTCAACTGCTCTCTCTGCTCCCTTTCTTGCCCACCCCCCATCATTTATTCTCTACTCAGGAGGTAAACTTATAAGAAACAAAATCAGATCCTATCATTCCCCTGTTCAAAACCTACCCTTGGCTTCTCATGAGACTTGGAATAAAATCCAAAATGGCTGTCACAGCCTCAGGGCTCTACATGATGTGGGCCCTGGTGATCTTGCTGACCTCATCCCCAGTACTTTATCCTGGCTCCCATACTCCAATCCCCTGGGCACTCTTGCTGGTCCTAGAATCTCCAAGCCCATTCCCTCCTCAAGACCCTTTCCCCACAGTTCTGAATGGCTCACTTCATCTCATCATCCAGTTCTCTCCTCAGGGAGGTTTTCCCTGAGCACCTCTCCTCTCAGTCACTCTCTATCCCCTTTCATTGCTTTATTGCCTTCACTGCCCCTACATGATTTCGGATCACAAAATCTATTTACTCACAAGAAAATAAGCTCCATGAATCTACAGACCTTTTTGCCATTTCCACAGCAGTATGTCCCATCCCTAGAATATCTGGCACCTGGTTAAGTGTTCAGTACATATTTGTTGAATGGGTAAATGAATGAGAGCTGGAGGGAAATCCAAACTCAGGGGTGCCTGTGCCACAGCAAACACTCTCCCTCTCACACCACCTGGAATAGAGATCAGCTAGAGCAGAGGCTGCTAAGAGAGGGAACAGAGGCTCCTTGTGACAGGGAGACTAGGATCAGAAGTCAGGGAAGGGACAGCCGGGTGAAATGACTGGAAAGAGGAGCAATCACTCAGCAGTAAGGCAGGTTCTTCCAAAGACAAAAAGGACACAGAGATAAGTCAGGGCACTTCCAAGGAACCCAACTACCTACTCCACACTCCCAAATTTATTCTGGGTTGGGCCCTTTTTGGTTCCAATATCACCTCGGATACCATAACTTGTCCAAGGTCTCTTCTTACCTCTCCCACCCTAAATGAAGACGGGCCCTGGGTCCTAATCATACATTCCTTTTTCCTCCACTGTGAGCTGAGACAAAGCCCTTAAGAGGAGATTCTCCTTGGCAACAAACTTAAAGGGTTAAAACCTAGAAGAATACTAATTCTTGCTGAGCTCCTACTATGATTTGATAATCACTGTACTACAGACTAATTACTACAATTCAAATGGTTTATATAAACCACTTAAAACAGTGCCTGTTACATAGTAAGCACCATATAAATACTGAGTTTTAACAATAATAATTGTTATTATTGTTATCACTATTTGTCAGGCATTCTTACACTCTCTTAACACTATTCCCATCATTCCTCACATCCATTCTTTTTTTTTAAAGACAGGGTCTCTATCAGCCAGGCTGGAGTGCAGTGGCACAATCATAGCTCACTGCAGCCTTGAACTCTTGGGCTCAAGTGATCCTCCTGCCTCAGCCTCTGAAGTAGCAGAGACTACAGGCACATACCACCACACTTGGCTAGTTTTCTTTATCTTTTGTAAAGATGGGGTTTCACTATGTTGCCCACACTAGTCTTGAGCTCCTGGTCTCAAGCAATCCTCCCACCTCAGCCTCCCAAAGCGCTGGGACTATATAGGCATGAGCCCTCACACATGGCCGTCATCCATTCTTTTACTCAGGTATCAATGTCCTTATTTTTAAAATCAAAGTAACTAAGACTCAGAGTAGCAAAATCACTTACTCAAGACCTCACAGCTGAGAAGAGGTGGAATTTAACTCAGGCTGTCATGATCCTTCCACTGCAGCAGACGCCTCTTCTGCCTTGCCCACCGCCACTGGCAGAGATCACCC
Organism: Homo sapiens; assembly: GCF_000001405.40. Lineage (NCBI taxonomy): Eukaryota > Metazoa > Chordata > Mammalia > Primates > Hominidae > Homo > Homo sapiens. The sequence goes on from NT_167249.2 coordinate 1,853,116, forward strand.
CTCAGACACCCTGGGGCCTAATGAGACCTGATCGCCCTCTCTCTTCTCCGAATATGAAAACTCTGTACCTCCTTGGAGGCCACCACGCACAAGCTGCCACTTCCTTACCCACACAGCCGATGGTCACCACCCCATCCTTGTAGCGCTCTTGGGTTGGGCCAGTTGGCTCCATTGCTGAATCAGTCTGCTGCTCCACCAGGACTGCTGGGCCATCCTCCTCTTCCTCCTCCTCCCCAGAGCCATTACCCCAGGTGGCCCCAGCCACATCCCGAGCAATCTTCTCCCGCCAGCTGCTCAAGTCCACTGCTCAAAGAAGGAGAAGATTAAAGAGGTTCTCCCCAGGGCTGCTGTGCATGATGGCACATACTGTGCCCTGCACAGATTATGTAACTGGCACCCTCTGGAGTTGTACAGTGCCAACCTAAATAAGAGCAGGTCAGAGAATCTCCCAAAAGTCATTTGACCCTACCCTCCCTGGAATCACGCACGTTTCTCTGAGCTTCTGAAAAGTACTGGGAAGGCTAAAGGCAGCAAGCCACTGAGGCTCCTGACTACCTGCTGCCTCTCGTCCCACCAAGTCAGTCTGCTCCTTATTCTGTCCCTTCCCCTGGCCTCTTGCACATATCCACCATAGAGGGGTTGGCTTCAGGAAAGGTGAGCAAAATGATTCTGCATCTTTGGTCTCCCCCATGTCCTCCTACAGCCCTCCTCTAAGGGCCACATACCTTTCCCCACAGTGATGGCTTCACAGGCTCTCAGCAACTGCTCTGGCCCCAGGGCCCGAGTCCATCCTCTCCCCCGCCTCCGACTCTTCTTCAAGACTGAGATCAGAGGGCACAAAAGGATGGGCACACGGGCTTAGGCCTCTCATCTCTCCCACCACCCTTAGGCCCAAGACCAGGTGCCCCCTTGTCAATAAGCCTCTCTGTTCTCCCTTGTCCCCTGCCAACTCACCTCTCCCAAGTTGCCCTCTCTCATTGCCCACTCACCACTACTAGGATCCTGTGGGGTGCGGGGGTCCCGAGGAAAAGAGGTGAAAAGGACGACGTGGAGCTGGGGATAGTGTTGATGGAAATAATGCTTCCAGGCAACCACAAGAGCTGGCGGGGCCAGATCCACCTTGTTCAAAACCAGCACCAGGGCCAGTCCAAGTTCTCCAGTCACATACTCATAAAGTGCTGGCGGGAAATTCACAACCTAGGACAGAGTTGATAAGAGGATGGAGCAGTGAAAGTCAACCCAGAGTTCTCTGCCTCCAGCTCCCCACTCAGCAGGTGTAGCTCAGAGACAAGGCCCTGGTGGTAGCAGACTCTGGGCTAAAAACTATAAACCAGACAAACTGAAAAACAAAGACAAAACAGGGGTTAGTAATACTTCTGAGTCTCAGAGGGCTTCCTATAGGTCATGATTAGAGATGGAAATGAACCCAAAACAAGACAAGGAAACAGCATCACTTAGCACACTGAGGTAAAGGCTGGGATCGGAAACAGGGATGGGGGTTAGGGTAGAAATTAGTCTGCTTTTTTGTGTGTGCACAACTATGTAAGTGTGTACACGTGCATATATGCATGCATGCAAGTACGTGCACATGTGTGCATGTTTGTGTGTTAATGTGACTGTGAACATGTGTGCAAACATGCCTGTGTATATTGATGTGCACATGATGTACGTGTGAGTATGTGTGTGTACATATTATTAAGGACCTCCAACCTAAATGGTCCTCACAGACCTCCCTTTCTCCCACTGGAGGACAAGAGTGAAGTTGCAGAGCTAGGATTCACACAGGGCAGTCCAGCAGCAGTCTACAGCCTTAACTACTACTCTAGCATTCCAGGTGGGTTCTGTAGCAACTGATGTGGCAGTGCTAGAGAAATGAGATAAGGAAGAAAGGGCATCTTTGGGCTGGGCAGGAGGAAGTCCCCAGCTGCATTCATAGAATCCCTGGAGCTCCAACACTTGGATTTTCTATTGGTCTGTGATGAGCTAAAGGACAGGACATGGCTGTTTTGAAGAGAAGAGTGAGCTGGCCAAGGGAGGAATGACAGGCTATAAGAGAATAAAAAACTGAGTTCCTAACTGCGGACATCAGCACTAGGTAGAGATTAGAAAGACAGGAAGATAGATACCTCTCTGTCTCCCAACTCTTGCCTCTGACCTTTGCCCCTGAAAAACCTTTCTCCCTCCTCCTTGCCCACCCTTATCCCTAGTACTCACTGGATGTCGGATATCAGTGATAAGCAGGACGATGTCAGACATCTCTAACACCCGCCACAGCTGCCTCCATGTCTAAAAAGACAGGATCAGGAAGAGAAACTGAAAACAGAGTCCCTCTCCAGCCTGATCCCAAACCAATTTGACCATAGGTCACTATGCCCCACTCCTGTCCCTAGAGTACACTGTCACCTCCAGATTGTGCTCAAAGTAGCTGAGTTTCTCAGAGGAGTAAGCCCCATGAATCTTCCCAAGATAGTCTTGGAAGCTCCGTTCCTCTTGGCTCATTAGTTGCTCCTTGGACATCTCATAGCTCCAAGGAGGACGTCGAGGAAAGTCCAGAACTGGGAATTCAGGAAAAAGTCCAAGTGTGAGGAAATCTTCAGGATTCAAGAGTACATCCCAGACCCCTCCTTCCTCACAGTCGGCTTTTACCTTTCCAAACTCCTTCCCCAGCCCAATGCCTGTCTTGCTCTCACTCACCTGAGCCAGGCTGATACACCTCCCGGATGTCCAGCTCCAACAACTCAGCACTGACCGGCTGTAGAACTTGCTCCCGGGCTGCTCTCTTTCTCCTCTCTACCTCCTCCCTGCTGTCTCTCTCAAAATGCAGTCGGTATCTAAGGGAACAGGGACCGAGACATCCAGAGCAATCCTGTGGCCACAAACTCCTATTTTCTCCCCTCTTGTACAATCAACTTCGCAAACCATTCTCTCCAGAGTCGTTCAAGTCTCCTCTCTCAAGTCAGACTTCCCCCAAGTCCTTCTTTCAGGCAATACTCAGCCTTCTCCTTCTAAAAGCCCAACTCTCTCCAGCCCCTCTGGAAAGGAAGACTGTGGCCCGCTGTGGGGAGCCGAGTGGCTAGCGGAGAACTGTGGCATCCCAGGCCCACCGTCTTCACCAGTAGCAGCCCGCTTTCCCCCAAAGCTCTGACTTCCGGGTAGGCGGGAAAGCCGGGACCAGCGCCCCCTCCCACCCTCACCGATTTGGGTCGTAGCCTCGTGGACCCAGCCCCTGAGAAGGCTGCTGGTTAAGCCTGCGGATATGATGGGTCACAGACTCCCCGTCCGAGGTGTCGGTCTGTTCCTCTCGCCGCTCCCGGCTCCCGCTGCGGCTGTTGGAACTGGAGCGCAGCCCATCTTGAAGCCCTGCGGGGAGGGGCCGGTGACGCCAGTGCTGGCCAGCTCTCAGGGGCCATAAGACCCTCTCCCCCATCGGCCTGACTCCCTTTCATCCCACTCAACTTCTTCCGATGTTCAGTCCTCCCAGACACCCTATTTGGGACCCTCCCGGATGTGCGTGGGGGGAGTCACTCCTTCAGGGAGCAGTGGGGACGGCGCCCCGTGCTAGCTGGAGGGATTCCCCTCCCCCAACTCTCCATCCTTCCCCACCCCTTCCAGATGTAGGGGGGGTGGGGGATCCCCTCCGCGATAGGCCGCGAGGGTTGACGCGGTCCCACGACCCCCTCCCACGATCCCCAGAGGTGCAGCGGGCACACCCCTCCTTCCAGATGTGCGGAAGCCCGAGCCCCGCCCCCTCCTCCCGCTCCCGCACTGACCTCTCTTCCGCTCCCGTTTGTCCTGCAACTGCTTCTTCTTCTGCTTCACGCTGAATGGCTTCTTCCTCGGCATGGCCCGGACCAGTCACCTGGCCCGCCCTCCGCCGAGCTCCCGCCGCCTCAACTGACTGCCCCCCGGGGCAGCCCCCGCCGCAGGGGCCCGGGACCCTAGAGGAGGCGGGGCTAGCAGGTGACGTCAGCGGGCGGGCCCGACAGAATTACCGCCGCGGCGGCGATGGAAGGCGGACGGGGGAGATATAGTCACTTCCCTCCAGGAGCGAGGCGAGAGGATGATGCGGGGTGGGCTACTGGCACGTGAGAGCCAGTGGCACCGAGAGGGCGCCCCGGCGGCGAGGAAGGAGGCGCGCGTGGGAGGACCAGGCTAACTCCGTCACGGACGCTACCAACTCGCGTTCGGAGGAGGGGGGGCGCGTGTCATCACTACCTTGCGCTCCCGGGAGAACCTACCACTCACCTGGAGGGGGCGGCGGAGCGGAGGGCGGGGCCTACTACCTAGGGGAGAGGGGGCGTGGACACGCTGAGGCTATACTACAAAGCCCCGGGCTTGACCTTAGTGGAAAGCCGAGACTGCGTCCAGGTTGCTGGACTACACCGGGGGCACGGTCAGAGGTCTTTAGGGGAGGGCGGCGGTCTGAGAGTCCTGGGTGCCGACCTGTTGGGACCCAAATTCCTTGTGGGAACGATGATAAGGAGCAGGTTTACAGATCATAAGTGCAAAAGCGGGCGAGAAGGGAAACCCAAGCGGGACAAGGACTTTTGGGGGGAGGTCAAAGGGCACGAAGTTGTGCCTGCAGCTGTTACCATAGTAACCGAGGACCGGATGTGGCGATCTTACGGTGCGACAGTCCTCTTCTCAGGCCCTCTGGCCCGAGAGCCTGTTGACTCTGTGACACACTCTGAGGAGCTGGTTGTGGTGTTTTCCAGCGAGGGAAGAAAAGAGTAATTTTTTCAAAGCATTTATAGAAACGCAGCAAAGGGAAGGTGTGAGGTTGCCGCCATGCCTGGCAGAGACGGAGGGAGGCAGTTGGCTCCGGAATGCGGCCGCCGCAGATGTTCTCCGCAACCTTCCGGAAGTGGAATGGCGGGAGCCTCAGCATTGCTGCCCACCGACCCCCCGGAAGCGGAAACAGAATCCCCGCGTGCCCCTTCCTCACTACCCTCCAAATCCCGCTGCAGCCATTGCCGCAGACACGATGCCGAAACGAAAGAAGCAGAATCATCACCAGCCACCGACACAGCAGCAGCCCCCGCTGCCCGAGCGGGAAGAGACTGGAGATGAGGAGGATGGGAGTCCCATCGGTGAGGGGTCTGGGAGGGATGTGCACATGCCTGTCAAGCCCGTCCGGGCAAGGGGCTAGGGGCTAATAAGGTGCGAAGGAGGGGGCTGTAACGGAAGGAGGAAGGGCGCACGCGCTGGGGAGGGATGGAAGTGGGGCTCTCCCAAATGGAGCCTTGAACCAGGAGTTCTCTTACTGGAACCATCAACCTCAATACGGCCCCAGACCTTTCTGGAGAAGGCGGGGGTGGAGAGAATAAAGAGCTCTTTTGCGCAGCCGCAGAACAGTAGGGGAAAGGGGTAGTAGAGATGTTGCAGATTGCGATGACTGGGATGACAGTTTGTATCCAGACTTTGACTGAAAAGGTACAGGTGCAGCTTTCTCTAAACTAGTCCTCTGGCCAGCAGTTAAGGTGAGGGATTGGTTCATGTCTGGAGACACTTAGGTTGTTTTGGATAGCGACGGTACGGTGAAGAAAAAAAGTTGTCAGTATCTTTTCCTGCATTATCCCCTTTGATTGAATATCTACTTTTTGCAAACCCTGAAACAGCTTTGCAGAAAAAAGGGCAGATAGATGGGGTGAGAACTCCCAAGACTGCTGAAAATATACCTGACTTTACTGGTTGAATTAAGAAATAAGTAATACAAGAAAAACACCTAAGAACAGAATCATCAGTCCTTTAATCCATTCTGATGACCATATTTTCATGTCTGCTCTTAGGACCACCCAGCCTTCTGGGCCCTCCCCCCATGGCCAATGGAAAACCTGGCGACCCTAAGTCAGGTGAGGAGGAAGGGGCCCTGATCCTTGTATTAGGTCGTAGAGAAGACAGCAAGGGAGGGGATAAAACCCAGGAAGGACTTAAAAATAAAAGATCAGGGATTCCATCCCTAAATGAATGGAGAGAAGTTGTATATTTGCTGATTTAAAAACTCAATGTTGTAAAAATGTCACTTCTTCCCAAATTGATAAACAGATTTCATGCATTCCAAGTCAGAACACCCATAATGTTTTTGTGGAAATACACATTATTATAGGGAAATGCAAAATATCAAGGCGACTATCAAGACAATCTTGAAGTGGGAGGGCTTACTATGAATATCAAGATTTGTAAGCTGGGCATGGTGGCACACGCCTGTAGTCCCAGTTACTCAGGAGGCTGAGGTGCGAGGATCCTTTGAGCCCAGGAGTTTTTGAGGCCACTCTGGGCAACATAGTGAGATCCTGTCTCTAAATACAAGAAGAAAAAAAGACTTACTATAAAGCTACAATAGTTACAACGATGCAGTTTGGAAACAATGATAGACATAAGTCAATAGGACTTATGTCCCGAAGAGTCCAATAACAGGCCCATACATGTGTGGACACTTCATTTATGATGAAGATGGAACTGAAAAGTTGGTCTTTTCAATAAATGATATTGGATCAATTGGATATTCATGTGAAAAAAATGGAATTTCACCTTGCACTCATAATCATATACAAAGATCTATTTCAAATGGACTGTAGATCTAAGTATAAAAGGTAAGAGAATAATTATTCTAGAAAGTAAATGTATTTTCTAAGAGTAGCTAAGAGTTCTTAAACAGACAAGAAATGCACGTATACACACTAACCATAAAGGAAAGATTGATAAATGGAACTCCGTTAGAAAATATAAATTTGCGGCTGGGTACAGTGGCTCACGCCTGTAATCCCAGCACTTTGGGAGGCCGAGGCGGGCGAATCACGAGGTCAGCAGTTCAAGACCAGCCTGACCAACATGGTGAAACCCCTGTCTCTACTAAAAATACAAAAATTAGCCGGGCATGGTGGTGTGTGCCTGTAATCCCAGCTACTGAGGAGGCTGAGACAGGAGAATCGCTTGAACCTGGAAGGCGGAGGTTGCAGTGAGCTGAGATTGCACCACTGCACTCCAGCCTGGGGGACAGAGTGAGACTGTCTCAAAAAAAAGAAAAAACAAAATACAAACTTGCCAAATAATACCATTAAGAAATTAACAGGAAGCCATACAATAGAAGATATTTGCAATAAATATAACAAATAAAGATCCTGTATCTATAATATATAAAGAACTCTTCCAGACAAGCCATTTGAAAAATTGACAAAAACACAGGACACCTTATTAAAATGGAGATCTAAATGAACTAAAGGTCTAAATGAACAAGTACTCAATATCATTAATTGTCAAGTAAATGCAAGATAAAAATATACCACTTTGAAATTAGAACTCTTGTGTACTGCTGCTGGGATTATAAAATGGTGAAACTACTATAGAAAACAATATGAAGAGGTTCCTCTTAATTAAAAATAGAACTACCAGATGACAAAAAAATTAAAAATAGAATTACCCCAGAACTCCTGCTTCCAGGTATATATCAAAAAAAAAAAAATGGAAAGCAGGGTCTTGAGATATTTGCAGACTCATGTTCATAGCAGCAGTATTCACAATAACAAAGAGGTGGAAGCAACCCACATGTCCACTGATGGAAGGATAAATGTGGCGTGTACATACAATGGAATATTATTCAGCCTTATGAAGGAAGAAAGTGCTGTCACATACTACAACATGGATGAACTTTGAGGACTTTATGTTAAGTAAAGACATAGTGTATTATTCCACTTATCTGAGGTGTCTAAAGTCAAATTCAGGGGCTGGGCATGGTGCTTCACGCCTGTAATCCCAGCACTTTGGGAGGCCAAGGCAGGCAGATCACTTGAGGTCAGGAGTTCGAGAACAGCCTGGCCAATATGGCAAAACCCTGTCTCTACTAAAAATAGAAAAATTAGCTGGGCATGGTGGTGCACACCTGTAATCCCAGCTACTCGGGTAGCTGAGGCATGAGAATTGCTTGAACCTGGGAGGCAGAGGTTGCAGTGAGTCGAGATCACGCCACTGCACTCCAGCCTGGATGACAGAGCAAGATTGTCAAAACAAAAAATAAAAATAAAGTCAACTTCAAAGAAACAGTAGAATGATGGTTACCAGAGGCTGGGGGAAGGAAGCTGGAGGAAGGGGAGTTTTGTTTAATGGGTACAGAGTTTCAGTTTTGCAAGATAAAAAACTTTTGGAGGTCGGGCATGGTGGCTCGTGCCTGTAATCCCAGCACTTTGGGAGGCCAAGTCGGGCGGATCATGAGATCAGGAATTCAAGACCAGCCTGGCCGATATGGTAAAACTCCATCTCTACTAAAAATACAAAAATTAGCCAGGCGTGGTGGTGGGCGCCTGTAATCCCAGCTACTTGGGAGGCTGAGGCAGGAGAATCACTTGAACCCAGGAGGCAGAGGTTGCAGTGAGCCAAGATCGCGCCACTGCACTCCAGCCTGGGCGACAGAGCGAGACTCCATCTCAAAAAACAAACAAAAACTTGGAGATCTGTTTCACATCAATATGAATATATGTAACACTACTGAACTGTACACTTAAAAATAGTTAAGATGGTAAATTTTATGTGTTTTTTACCACAATAAAAACCAAACAAAACAAGGCATGATGATTCATGCCTGTAATCCCAGCACTTTAGGAGACCAAGGTGGGAGGATCACTTGAGCCCAAGAGTTCAAGACCAGCCTGGGCAGTGTGGCAAGACCCAATCTCTCATTAAATAAATAATAATAACCAAACAAAAAAATAACCACCACTTTTCACACTCACCATGGCAAAATTTAAAAACCTAACAATTCCAAGTGTTGTCAAGGCTATAGGACAACTGCTGGTGAGAGTGCAAATTGGTATAACCACTGTGAAAAAAAAGTTTGGCATTATGTATGAAACTTGAGCATAACATATACTTTATAAGCCAGTAATACCTCTACTACGTATATATTCAACAGAAATGCATACGTATGTGTAACAACATGTATAAAAATGTTTATAGTGGCATTTCTCGTTATAGCCCCAAACTGGATACCACCCACATGTCCATCATCAGTAGAATGGATAAATAAATTGTTGTGTATGCATGCAATGGGACTACACTGCAACGAAAATGAATGAACTGCTGCTACAGGCAACCTGGATGAATCTCACAAACATGATGTTGAGCGAAAGGAGCCAGACATAAAAGAATGCAGACTGTATGATTCCATTTTTGTGAAGTTCAAAAACAGGCAAAAACTAACCTATGGTGTCAGGATAGTGGTTACCTTTGGGGAGGAGGGTGGGTAATGGGAAAAGGGGCACAAGGGGAGGATCTTTTGAGGTGCTAATAAGGCTTTATCTCTTCACCTGGTGGTGGAAACTCAAGTGTGTCTACTTTGTGAGAACTGGGTTGTGCACTTAAAACTGGTGTGTCTTTATGTATGCTGTTCTTCAATAAAAAAAATTTTTTTAATCACGGTTTATCAGGATTCAGCTGCCCATTAGACACCTTTCTGTGTCTCTCTCTCTCTCTCTCTCCAGCTCTTCACAGAGGTCCTCCAGGATCAAGGGGACCACTGATTCCACCACTGCTGAGTCTCCCACCTCCTCCTTGGGGTAGAGGCCCAATTCGGAGAGGGCTTGGCCCCAGGTCTAGCCCATATGGTCGTGGTTGGTGGGGAGTCAATGCAGAACCTCCTTTTCCGGGGCCAGGCCATGGGGGTCCCACCAGGGGAAGCTTTCACAAGGAACAGAGAAACCCTCGAAGGCTCAAAAGCTGGTCTCTTATCAAGAATACCTGCCCGCCCAAGGATGACCCCCAGGTTATGGAAGGTGAGGTCCATTTTGTTATGCCCATTACTCCCAGAGTGACCTAATTTTCAGAAGATCATTCACAATCTTCTCTGGGCTTTCCTTTTTGCTTTTGAAGCAGAAGTAGACCTCAATGTTATTTCTCCCAGGAGAAAGACTACCATTCCAAAATACCTGGAAATGGTAGGGGGTAGAAAATCAGTTCTCCTTCTGTCTCTGCGTTTCATTGTATTTGTTTTCTTTGTTGCTCAAATTTTTAACTGTTCCATTTTCACTTGTTCACAGACAAATCCGACCGCCCTGTCTGCCGACATTTTGCCAAAAAGGGCCACTGTCGATATGAGGACCTCTGTGCCTTCTACCACCCAGGCGTCAATGGACCTCCTCTGTGAGACTGTGCCTTCCCATCCAGGCTGGAAGGAGCTCTCTGTGACCTAGCGGCCATTTATTTCTCTGTAGCCCTATGATGGCTACTGTGAGGCTCTTCTAACACCCTCAGTCAGTGACACACCCATCCCATCCACCACTTCCCCCGTGTGGGGTCCAGAGTGGTGTTGCATCACTGGTGCGCGGCATACGCGCTTTCTTCTGATCCAGCCTGTAGAGACTCGCCTTCGGGACCCATCTTTGCTTCCTTTCAGTTGCCTCCTGGATCTTCTTTCCCGTCATCAAATGACTGCTGAACAGGAAACCTCTTTGGTGCTGTTTCTTGTGCATCTGTCCACCTGTTCCCCAGTATTGCCCTCAATTCCTGAGAGCCCTGGAGCGGTTTCCTACCATTCCCTTCTTTTAGCTGCTTGTTTTAAGTCCTTTTTATGTGACATTCCCTACCCCCAATGTTGTCAGCTGCTTGTGAAACTCAGCCAGGTTGTCTAACCTGGGGTCAAGTTTGGGTGACTGGTGCAGAGTTACTTCCTAAAAGGCCACTCTCCCTGCCTTTGGATTTCATAGTTTCTCTGTCAGTAGCATGATCCCCACCGCTATGGTCTATCTATGATCACCGTGCTTTGTGAAACTGTGCATCCCCTTGTAGCCTTTCTCAGTGTCCGTGGCATTTTTGTGACTTCCCAGCACTAGAATAAGTTTTCCTGCCAAAATGAGTGAGGCGCTTGGTGCCCTCTGGACTTTCCCACTTCCCAACATGGGAGAATTGTGAACTTTCCATCAGACTGCCTCCCTGGCCCTCCCCATTCTTCTCCTGTTGGTTATTCTGAGTCTGACACAGACCCATGACATGTCTTATAAAGCCTCCAATGGCTTTATCCTACCTAGATCCCTTCCAGCCCATTTTAATTAGACTATGTCATTGTGAGGCCACCAGTCCATTCATTTGAATTCTGTGAATCTCCACCTTGCCTATCTTTGGGTAGAAGCTGGACAGTACTGTTGCCCTCTTCCAATCCTCTTCCCCTACATCCCTGGCACTGGTTGTTTTCTGTGAAAACAGCAGTGAACAGGTTCAGTTTTGAACTGGCCCTGAGGAAATGGGTCAGGAGTTGTATTGGCAAGAGGGAGGGGTGAGAGCTGTTGGAGAACTGAGAATGAGGTTTTTTTTTTTTTTTTCTTTTTAACTTTTTTTATATTAGTAATAAATGCAGTGGAAACCAGCATTTTATTTAATCCCTGTGTTCTAGTCATCTCTGGAGTTGCAGATGAAGCTGTTCTCACCTGGTGGAGTCAGCTTATTCTTTAGTTCATACACACTAGTGATGGGGAATGACAAAGCTTAAGGTTCTTCCAGGCTGAAAAAAACCAATGGAGGTTCCATTAGCCTGTAGGCATCAACCAGAACAAGCTGCCTTATGTTCAAGGGCAAAGTTTTGTAAGAAAAAGGAAAGGCCAGGTGTCCGTGGAGTTATTTTTAAATATTTTACTTTGCAGAGTTTGTGTTTATGGAGTGGTAATGATGAAGGAGTCTTTCAGCAGCAATTTGCAGAATGCCTGTGGGCCAGGCAATATACCAAGCACTAGAGATAACTGACAGCCAAAGCCAATGGATTTAAAATGTACAGGGAAGACAGGTTTCTCATAATCACAAATAGCATGTAAAGTTAAACCTGTCAAAAGTGCTGGGAAGAAGACAGGGAAGAAAAGAGGGTGAAAGAGAGTTGTGTAATAAAGGGAGTCAGGGTAGGAGATGCAACTGAGACAAGCTCCAAAGGATAAACAGGAGGTGGGGTGGGAGAGGGAAGTCAAGGCAAAGGTCTTCGCTAAAAGACCTAGGGGAAGAGGAGCTAAGAAACCTAGGGACAGTGGGAGATGATGCAGAAGAAAGAGGAGTTAGACCACTCAGGGCCTTGGAAAACATGAAGATTTGGCTCTTTTCTTAGAACAGAAGCCTTTGAAGAATTTTAGACAGGAGTATCATGGCTTAGGCTGGCTTTTCAAAAAAAATCAGCTTGTATGGAGAGGGCCCACCTTGGACCTGGAAGTTAATTAGAAGGCTACTGGCTACTTCAGTAGTACAAGTGAGCCATGATGGTGACATAGACTTGGGTAGTAGAGTTGGAGAAAAGTAGACATTTGAAAATTACAGGTCAAAATAAAAGTATCAGATTTCTCCAGGTAGTTCTGGCTTATGTAACTGCCATTTAAAAAGAAGTCTTAAGATAGAAGTTTATGGCTGGGCGCGGTGGCTCACGCCTGTAATCCCAGCACTTTGGGAGGCCAAGGTGGGTGGATCACGAGGTCAGGAGATCAAGACCATCCTGGCTAACATGGTGAAACCCCATCTCTACTAAAAATAGAAAAAAAATTAGCCAGGCGTGGTGGCCGGCGTCTGTAGTCCCAGCTACTCGGGAGGCTGAGGCAGGAGAATGGCGTGAACCCAGGAGGCGGAGCTTGCAGTGAGCCGAGATCGCACCACTGCACTCCAGCATGGGCGACAGCGCAAGACTCCATCTCAAAAATAAATAAATAAAAAATAAAAATAAAAATAAATAATTTTTAAAAAGATAGAAGTTTATTTCTCTCACAGGTCAAGAGGTGGACAATCAACAATCCAAGATGTGTGACAATGCCACCACTACAAGGTCCCTGAGTATTCAGAACCTCAACCCCCAACTTTCAGATTCACAACCACAAGCTTCTATTCACTGTCCAAAGTGAAGCTCTGGCTTCCTCATCCATGTTCAAAGCCTCAGGATGGAGGAAGGGCTGAGAACACCAGTTGTCTGGGAAGAAACTTCTTTTTTTTTTTTTTTTTTTTTTTTTGAGACGGAGTCTCAGCTCTGTCGCCCAGGCTGGAGTGCAGTGGCATGATCTTGGCTCACTGCAAGCTCCGCCTCCCAGGTTCACGCCATTCTCCTGCCTCAGCCTCCCGAGTAGCTGGGACTACAGGCGCCCACCACCATGCCCAGCTAATTTTTTGTGTTTTTAGTAGAGATGGGGTTTCACCGTGTTAGCCAGGATGGTCTCGATCTCCTGACCTGGTGATCTGCTTGCCTCGGCCTCCCAAAGTGCTGGGATTACAGGTGTGAGCCACCACGCCCAGCCGGAAGAAACTTCTTAAAAGTTAACTTATAACTCCTCAACTTATGGGCAAGCATTTAAGTTGAGTTTATTAATTCTACAGAGGTTATCTCCCTAAAAGGGGGCTAGGAATGACAGGATTAGGGTTTGTGTTTGGTGATTTCAAAAGAAACAGGAAATTGTTCTGGCTTAGATGCTGTCAGAAAGATGACTACTTCTTAATCTTATCTAGAAGGAGGGAGAAATGAAATATGGCTAAAGCTGTAAGGTAAAAAAGCCAACACATTTTAGCTGACAGGGAACTGTGTGGTGTTTTTGTGCTTAGACAAGATTTTGAAGTTTGTCTAATTTCATCACAAACACAGGATGACCTTGTTTGACACTGATTTTCTGTGAGATAGTTTATGTTCAACAAGAGTACCATGGCCTAACTATGGGCAACAGGCCAGCTCCCAGCAACACCAAAGCCTGCCAGTTATTGTCAGGCCAGTTCCCAATTCTCAGGGACTGTTTTTCTTAAAAGTATGCAAACATATAATTACAGGTTGAGATGAATCATATGAAGGAAATAAATGGGGTACTGAATAGAAACAGTAGTTGGGGAGCTACTCAAGACATGGTGGCCGGGCGCGGTAGGTCACGCCTGTAATCCCAGTACTCTGGGAGGCTGAGGCGGGTGGATCGCCTGAGGTCAGGAATTCGAGACCAGCCTGGCCAACATGGTGAAACCCTGTCTCTACTAAAATAACAACAACTAGCGAGGCGTGGTGGTGGGCATTTATAAATAATCCCAGCTACTTGGGAGGCTGAGGCAGGAGAATGGCTTGAACCCAGGAAGCAGAGGTTGCAGTTAGCCGAGATTGCACCATTGTACTCCACCCTGGGCAACAGAGCGAGACTCCATATCCAAAAAAAAAAAAGACATGGTGGCTAGGATAGACCTCTCTGAGGAATCTGTAGATGAAGGGCCCAGAACTTAGCCTTGAGGAACTCTGACATTGAATTGCTAAGTGAAGAAGGACAAGGATAAGCCAGACAAGGAGACTAAGGAGGGATGACGGAGAGGCAGGGAGAGATCTCAGAGTGTGGCGTCACCTGGCTGCTTGCTCAGTGCCAGGTACCCTGCTAAGCTCTTTATAGACATTGTCTTTGTCTTATTTAAGCTTCACATACTTTTTTGGGGGGGGAGAGGGGGTGGTTCAAGCGATTCTCCTGCCTCAGCCTCCCGAGTAGCTGGAATTACAGGTGCCCACCACCACACCCGGCTAATTTTTTGTATTTTAGTAGAGATGGGGTTTCACCATGTTGGCCAGGCCGGTCTCGAACTCCTGACCTCAGGTGATCTACCTGCCTCGGCCTCCCAAAGTGCTGGGATTATAGGCATGAGCCACCGCACCTGGCCAAGCTTTGCATACTTTCAGTGAACACTTTAGTGCCTACTGTAGGGCAAGCACTGTTTTAGGAGCTGGAGCTACATCAATAAAAAGGACAAAATCCCTGCCCATATGGAGCTTACATTGCTTTGAGGATGATAGACAATATACATAGGTAATATAATTTTAAGTAATAGTAAATGCTTCAAATGAAAATAAAGTGAAAAAAGAGGTTAGAGAGTGACAGGTGGAAGAGAACAGGTTGATACAAAGAGAGAGCTGCTTTGAGGAGGTAACACATAGAGAGAAAATTAAACGAGGGAACAAACCATATGAACACACAGAGAAAGTGCGTTCCAGGCACAGGGAACAGCAAAGGCAAAGGCCTTGATGCAGGAATGACTCTGGGGTGTTTGAAGTAAAAATAGAAGGCCAGGCCAGGCGTGGTGGTTCATGCCTGCAGTCCCAGCACTCTCAGAGGCTGAGGCAGGAGCACTGCTTGAGCTCAGAAGTTTGAGACCAGCCTGGGCAACATGGTGAGACCCTGTGTCTGCAAAAATGTTTAAAAAGTACCCAGGCCTGGTGGCGTGTGCCTGTAGTCCTAGCTAGTTGGAGGCTGAGGTGGGAGGATCCTTTGAGGTTGCAGTGAGCTATGATTATACCACTACACTCCAGCTTGAATGACAGACCAAGATCCTGGTTCAAAAAAAAAAAAAAAAGCCCAGTGTGGCTAGACTGTGGGAGATGGGATCAAGATGTTTAACAGAGGGCATATTGTACAGAGCCCTATAAACTATGGTAAAGCATTTGGATTTTATTCTGGATTTTATACTTTTTTAAATATTTTTATACTTTGAACAAATGGATTTACTTTTTTTTTTTTTCTTTTTGAGACGGAGTCTTGCTCCATCACCCAGGTTGGAGTGCAGTGGCATGATCTCAGCTCACTGCAACCTCCACCTCCCGGGTTCAAGTGATTCTCCTGCCTCAGCCTCCCAAGTAGCTGGGACTACAGGCGCCCACCACCACGCCTGGCTAATTTTTGTATTTTTAGTAGACACAGGGTTTCGCCATGTTGGCCAGCCTGGTCTTGAACTCCTGACCTTTTGATCCGCCCGCCTCAGCCTCCCAAAGTGCTGGGATTACAGGCGTGAGCCACCGCGATTGGCCCATGGATTTACATTTTAAAACCACCTCTGACTGTAGGTGTGAAGGATAGACTAGAGAATGAGAATGACAGCAGGCAGACCAGTTAGGAGGCCAGCGCAGTGCAGTGGTCCAGGGAGAAGAGACGATGGCTTGGTCAGGGTAGAGGTGGAGAGAAGTGGTTAAATTTGGGTTATGTTTTAGTCTCAGTTGATGGCAATTACATCTTTCTAGTTAACTCAGGCCAGAAATATTGGAGTCATCTTTAATTCTATTTGTCAAACATGACCTCCAATCCATTAACAAAACTTGTTGGCTCTTTTCCAAAATACATTCAGAAACCAGCCCTTTTCACACCTCCACTGCTGTCACCCTAGTCTGAGTCACCATCACCTCCTAATAGATCTCCCTGCTTCTGTCATTTCTGCCCATTCTTTGCTGCCTGCCCCCTCCCACCTCCCGCCCAGGTTGTTCTCAGCACAGCCTCCAGAGTCATCCTTTTTATTTAACAATTTAAAAAATGTTATAGGCCAGGCATGGTGGCTCACGCCTCTAATCCCAGCACTTTGGGAGGCCGAGGCAGGCGGATCACGAGGTCAGGAGTCCGAGACCAGCCTGACCAACATGGTGAAACCCCGTCTCTACTAAAAATACAAAAATGAGCCAGGCATGGTGACGCACGCTTGTAATCCCAGCTACT
Organism: Homo sapiens; assembly: GCF_000001405.40. Taxonomy (NCBI): domain Eukaryota; kingdom Metazoa; phylum Chordata; class Mammalia; order Primates; family Hominidae; genus Homo; species Homo sapiens. Next base: position 1,869,549 of record NT_167249.2, read on the forward strand.
CAGGAGACTGAGGCAGGAGAATTGCTTGAACCCAGGAGGCAGAGGTTGCAGGGAGCCGAGATCACGCTACTGCACTCCAGCCTGGGCAACAGAGCAAGACTCTGTCTCAAAAAAATAAAATAAAATAAAAATTAAAAAATTGTATTATATACGGAGACAAGGGGTCTCGCTATGTTGCCTGGGTTGGTCACAAACCCCTGGGCTCAGGCAATTCTCCTGCCTCAGCCTCCCAAAGTACTGGCATTACAGGTGTGAGCCACTGCACCTGGCCAGGTCATCCTTTTATTTATTTTATTTTATTTTTTTTTTTTTGAGACGGAGTCTCGCTCTGTCGCCCAACCTGGAGTGCAGTGGCGGGATCTCGGCTCACTGCAAGCTCTGCCTCCTGGGTTCATGCCATTCTCCTACCTCAGCCTCCCCAGTAGCTGGGACTACAGGCGCCCGCCACCTCGCCCAGCTAACTTTTTTGTATTTTTAGTAGAGATGGGGTTTCACCATGTTAGCCAGGATGGTCTCAATCTCCTGACCTCGTGATCCACCCATCTAGGACTTCCAAAGTGCTGGCATTACAGGCATGAGCCACCGCGCCCCAGCCCAGGTCATCCTTTTAAAATGTAGGTTGGATCACATCACTCTGCTCAGAACTCTGCAGTGACTTCCATTTAAATCAACAGAAGAAGCCAAAATCCTTAAGATAATTTAAAAGACCTTTCCCAATCCAGACCCTGCTTTACTTCTCTTTTCACCTTTCCCACAACTCTGGCTCACTCATGCCACTCCAGCCCCTCTTGCCTCCTTCCTGTTTGTTCCCCATGTATGTCCGAACACTCCTGTCACAGGGCTTTACTCCAGCTGTTTCTTATGCTAGAAAGGCCCTTCTCCTGGAAATCCATGTGGCCAAAACTAATCTTCTTTAATGATTTGCTTGAATTTCACTTTACTGAGGCCTCATTTAAGACTAAAATCTGTCCTCTTGATACTTTTAAACTTGATCCATATTTTCTTTTATCTATAGGATCATCTCCCCTGCTGGAAACGTAATCAGAGATCTTTATTTTATTCAGTAGTATCCCAAGAGCGTAGAAGAGTGCCTGGCACATACTATACACTCAATAAATATATTTGTTGAACAGATGAATGAAAAAATGAGGCAGACTTAGCTGGCTGATGGATTGATTAGGGGAGGAGGAATGGAGAAAGAGGATGATGACCTTTCAGTTTTGGCCCAAATAACTGAATGACCTGTGGTGCAATTTCTTGATGGGGAAGCCTGGAAGAGACAGGATTTAGGAGTAAGAACAAGAGCTCCATTTTGTACGTATGAGAGAGATTTATTAAAGATCTCAGAGAAGATGTCCCATAAGCAGTTGAATTCATGAGCCTGGAGCTCGGGGCAGAAGTTGGGGGCCAGCAAGAGAAGTTTGGGAATCTTCATTGGTTATAGATGGTATTTAAAGTCAGGAGGTGATAGGTGATAAGTCTAGATTAAGGAGAGTGTCAAAGATTTAGCCCTGAGGCACTTCAACATTTAGACTTCAGGAGAAGCCCATTAGATGCAAAGGAAACCTATAGAGAGTAGTGTCCCTGAAGAAAACAAAGGAGGGAGGGAGCGACCAAGTCTATCAAACATTGATGGGAGAGTGAGTAGGATGGCCCCAGATCTGTTGACTTTGGCAAGTGTGAATTCAGACAATGGTGGCAACAAAAGCATGATTGTAGTGGTTTGAGAGCTGACAGAACTACAGGAGCACCTTGCTCAAGCTCCCATATTAAGTGGTAGAGTTAGAAGTGAACCAAAGTCTTGATTGTGGTGATAGTTTACTGGGTTTATGCAGGTCAAAACTTATTTAAGTGATACTTTGCAGTTTATTTTGGGTGCCATTTTATTTTGTGTACAGTTTATTGTATGTCAATTATATCTCAGTAAAGCTGTTACCAAAAAAAATAAATGAACCGAAGCTCCACTGCACCGTGACTTCTGCATGTTGGGCTCCAGTTCCCTGTTTACAATTGTACACTTCGGGATTTTGTGACACATTTCAACACTGGACCGATCAGACCTCTCCCTTAGCCATTGGTCTGCACTGTCTTTTCTGCCCATGACCCAGTCAGTCTCGCGCCCCATGACCCTCTCCTAAAACACGCGCAGTCTCCTCTCTCTTCCCCTTCCTCTCGTGTCTTCCTTGCCTACCAGCCTCACCTGATGGGCTCGTGTTCTCTCCGTCCCCGATCCACTCGGGCTCCGGCAGCTGCTGCTTGGGCGCCTTCGGCATCGCGGTGGCAGAACTAGAAACGAGTTACAGATAGAAACTAGAATATGCTTTTTAAAAAAACAAAAAACAAAACAAACAAAAAAACAGTATGCCTCAACTCCTTCATACTAGTAGGAAATTATTATGTTCATTCCTTGAGTCTCGCGGCGTCGGGAGGTCACGGCGTCAGGCTTCCCAGACAGTCGTAAACGCCATGTGTTTACGCGACTGGAGCAAGCGGACGCCGGCCCCGCTCCGTCATTGCAGGCCACGCCTCCACTGAACCAGGGCCACGCCCCCGAGATGACGGCGAAGCTCGCACGTGCGCAGCCCGGGGGCGGGGTTGGCCGCGCCAGCTTGGAGAGCCAGCCCCATCGGGGTTCCCCGCCGCCGGAAGCGGAAATAGCACCGGGCGCCGCCACAGTAGCTGTAACTGCCACCGCGATGCCGAAGGCGCCCAAGCAGCAGCCGCCGGAGCCCGAGTGGATCGGGGACGGAGAGAGCACGAGCCCATCAGGTGAGGCTGGTAGGCAAGGAAGAAACGAGCAGAGGGGGAAGAGAGAGGAGACTGCGCGTGTTTTAAGAGAGGGTCATGGGGCACGAGACTGACCGGGCCCGTGCGGGAGTTACTGCGCATGCGTGCCGTGGGCCCGGGAGGAGTTTGCCGGGGAGGAGTGGGTTTGGAATCGGGGTTAAAGGAAAGAGATCCAGATGTCGCACGTGACCTAAGTGAGACTGGGCGAGATAAAAGAAAGAGCATATGGCACCGAGGGAGAGATGGGGAGAAATGGGAAAACCTTGCTTAAAAAATTTGGACATCCGCCCCACCATACACTGTATTCCACCAGGAATATATGAGCCCTGCCTCGACCTCCCCTTCCCCCTGCGCGCGCATACACACACCTTGGGAGCCTGTGATCCCCCTTGTTTCTCAAGAGAGGGTGACTCCTTCATGGTTTCTTTCTTAAGACACCCCTCTCACTCAACTGGAGCAAGAGTGTAGATTTTTGATGTTGGAATGAGGGTTAAGGTTTACTTAAAAAGCAGCGAAAGTTTGTTAAGCGCTTGTTTTTAATTAAGCACTCTATATACTGTGCTTTGAGAGGGGAAGGAAAAAAACATGAAGATATCTTCCCAGGGTTGAAGTCAGTTTTAAGGGGGACATAAATGGACACAACTAACCCCAGTAGGTACACAGTAACTAATTTTAAAAGCACTTATTGGATGCCTACTGTATACCAGGTACTGTGTGGAGGAAGTGGGAATGTAGAGATAAAAGATAAGACTTTCCCTCAAGGGACAACCCAGTATGGTGAAGGGTCAGAGCATTAACCAGACAGACAGTGGTTGTCAGAGTATGATGAAGGTGCTTAAGAATGTTATGGGACTGTAGAAGAGAGGAGGAGCATCTACTCAGACAGGTAAGGGAGTGTCAGCAAAGCCTCCCAAGAATATGTAATAGCTGAGTATTTTTTTTTGAGGCACATTGTAGCTCCATCACCCAGGCTGGAGTGCAGTGGCATGAACATGGCTCACTGCAGCCTCCACCTCCTGGGTTTAAAGGATCTTCCTGCCTCAGTCTCCCAAGTAGTTGAGACTACTGGCATGCACCACCACACCTTATTTTTAAAATTTTTTGTAGACACAAGATCTGGCTATGTTGCCTAGGCTGGTCTCAAACTCCTGGGCTCAAGTAATTCTCCTGCCTCAGCCTCCAAAAGTGCTGGGATTACAGGCGTGAGCCACTACATCTGCTCCCCAGAGTTTATTCTTGAAAGATCATCGTGAATTAGCAAGGGGAAGCGCATTCCAAGCCAAGGAAGTTTGTGGAAGGTAGAGATGTAGGCAAGCCTGACTGGTCCCACTAGAGCCTGGTGACTAGTGTGATGAAGTCAGAAAGATGCTCAGGAGACAGATAATGAAAGGCTTTAGATGCCATTCCGAGGAGTTTAATCCTAAAGACATTAAGAAGGAAGGCCCATTGAAGTGCATAAGGAATGATTATGAACAGTTCACCTGTAGCACTGAGCAATGGAGAATGAATGGCCTTGAACTGGTCAAGATGGAGGTGGGGAGACCATTTAGGGGGCTCTGGCCATGATCTAGGTGAGAAGTGGTAAGGGGATAAGCCAAGGCCTGAAGAATAAAGAGTTACTAAGGAGGCGGCATTGATCGGAACTGAGAACTGATTAAATGAAGGGAGAAGTAAGGTTGACACTTAAGTAACCCAGTGACTAGTAGACTATTAACTGAAAGCAGTAATGGACAGGAGAGTAAGAAGTGGAAAGAGATAAGGTGAACTTCTGAATGCTGAGTTAGGCGTTTCTGAGGATTTCTAAAAGGAAATGGCAAGAAGAGAGTTTGTTTAGTCACTGTGGAGAGACAACTATACTAGGAGTAAAGACACAGGCAAGTATAGTTGAAGTGCTGGATATGGAAGAGTCCCCTAGAGAGTGTTTGCAGATTGAACCAAAAAGAAGGTTAAAGGTGGGAACCCTAAAGAACTTCAGCAATTGCAGGAAGCAGGTGGGGAAGGAGGCTGAAGAGATGAGACTGAGAAAGGCAAACAGCCAGAGAAACTGGAGGCAAACCAGGAGTGAGCAAGATCCCAGAAATTAAATAATGATAGAAGAGAATAAAAAAGGTGTGGAGGTAGGCAGCATGGAATGCTGCAGAGAAGTCAGGCAAAATAAGGACCAAAAAATACTTTGTGGTTTGAGGAGCTAAGGGTTCAGTGGCAACTTTGGCAGAAGTAGTGTTCATTCGGAGATGATACCAGATTGCAGTATGTTTCAAAGGTATGGGAGAAGAGAAAGTGAAGCTTGTGAATTACGATTTTGAGACCCAATGAGGACAAGAATACGAAACAGTAATGGGGGAGAGGGGTATAAGGGTAAAGAAGGCTTGCTTTCTTGCCTTGAAGGAGCAGCTTAAGCGATATACGAAAGGAGAGAAGACACAGTATATCTCTAGCCACACTTAATCTTTTTCAGTTCCTTGGGGATTATACTTTCTCACAATGAAACTCTTCAGAGGCTTTTCCTGTCCCTATAATGAAGTGGATAAGAGTGATTAAAGTACAAAAGATTTTTTTGGTTTTGGTGGGTTTTTTTTTTTTGTGACGGAGCCTCACTCCAGGCTGGAGTGCAGTGGCGCGATCTCAGCTCACTGCAGCCTCAATCGCAGGCTCAAGCCATCTTCCCTTGTAGCTGGGACTACAGGCACACACCGCCATGCCTGGCTTATTTTTTGTTTGTTTTTGTTTTTTGTTTTCTGTAGAGATGAGGTCTTGCTATGTTGCCCAGGCTAATCTTGAACCTCTGGCCTCAACCAGTCCTCCCACCTTGGTCCCCAAAATGTTGGGATTACAGGCGTGAGCCAGTGTGCCTGGCCACAAAAGAGATTTAAAGGAAGGAGAGATGGTATGGCTGTGTTAGTCCTTGGGGAGAAATTAGTGTCTGGGATGAGTCAGTCATCTGTGTTGATAAGGTGAGCTGATCAGGTTTTTCCTTCTTAGGTACTTCAGTAGATCCTTCCTCCTAATGCCTTTAGGATTAAACTCCTTGGAATAGCATATAAAGCCTTTTATTATTAATCCTGCACAATTTTTCAACTCTCACACTAGTCACCCAATACTGGGCTCAGATTTTTTTTCTTTAACTTTTTTGTTTGTTTTTTGTGGTTTGTTTTTTGGGGAGGAGGAGGGCCCCAAACTTTGAAATGTGTTCTGGATGGAGGATGCAGATTAAGCAAAGACAGACATAAGCGTGCCTGGGACTTCATAAAGGAACAGAAAGAAGCCAGTATCGAGACCAGAGGTGTGGGTAGGGAAACAGAAAAGATAGGGTAGGGCCATTTTAGTCTGTGAAGCCTTTAATTATTGGAATTGTCTCTCGTTAACTCTAGTTTTTTGGAGAAGTAGATGCACCATAAAACTTTCCTGAATAAATGATTACTTTGAAATACATGGAATTCTAGTCTGAGAATATTTTAATGTAGTAGATGGCGGATACCATTGACTTTTTTTCTTTTTTTTTTTTTTTTTTGAGACAGTCTCGCTGTGTCACCCAGGCTGGAGTGCAGTGGCGCGATCTTGGCTCACTGCAACCTCCACCTCCCAGGTACAAGCGATTCTCCTGCCTCAGCTTCCCAAGTAGCTGGGACTACATGCGTGCTCTACCACGCCCAGCTAATTTTTGTATTTTTAGTAGAGATGGGGTTTCACCATGTTGGCCAAGCTGGTCTCAATCTCCTGACCTTGTGATCCACCCACCTTGGCCTCCCAATGTGCTGAGATTACAGGCCTGAGCCGCCGCACCCGACCAATTTTTTTTTTTTAATATTAAATACTGAAATGCTTAAGGGTAGAATTAGATAGCAGTGAATGGAAGGGATGTTTTGGAAGAGAAGATAATAAATAGGCCTAAGCCTGAAGGGAAATCATGAGGCTGCCTCCAGTAGGGGAGGGAGTTGGACATGGTCCTCTACCTTCAGGGAAACAAGGATGGAGAGGGGGAGAGCTAGAATCTGTTGAATCTGTTTTGGCTTTACTGGGAACACAGGCTAAACAGTCTCTCAGGTTACTCTCTAGAATGAAAGCACACAGACAGGTAAATATGACACAATGTGATTTGTGCTATAATATTCAAGCAGAACAAGTAAGGCATAGACTGAGGTGTTCATTTGCTTACCAGATAACTCTATTTACATGGCCTATAGGTTTTACAAACAACGTGTCCCCCTGGCCAGGCACAGTGGCTCAGGCCTATAATTCCAACAGTTTGGGAAGCTGAGGCAGGAGAATTGCTTGAGGCCAGAGGTTCAGGATTAGCCTGAGCAACATAGTGAGACCTCCTCTCTAAAAATTATTATTTTTTTAATTAGGCAGGCATGGTGGCGCTTGCCTGTAGTCCTAGCTACTCAGGAGGCTAAAGTGGGAGGATCACCTAAGCCTAGGAATTTAAGGTTACAGTGAGTTATGATCATGCCACTGCATTCCAGCCTGGGTGACAGAGCAAGACCCTGTCTCTTAAAAAAAAAAAAAAAAAAAGGAGGGTGTGTGTGTGTTGTATACATGTGTGTGTATCTACACATATCTCCCAAATTGAATTTATAATATCTTCTTCCTTCCTATAAGACCTTCTCTTCCACTGCCTCCTTAATTAATAAATGGTACCACTTAGCCCAGCTAATTTTGCCAGCTAAAAACACAGGAGTCATCTCTGAGTGCTCTTTTTTTTTTTTTTTTTTTTTTTTTTTTTTTTTGAGATAGAGTCTTGCTCTGTCACCCAGGCTGCAGTACAATAGCGTGATCTCAGCTCACTGCAACCTCCGCCTCCTGGGTTCAAGCAATTCTCCTGTCTTAGCCTCCTGAGTAGCTGGGATTACAGGCGCCCGCCACTATGCCTGGCTAATTTTTTGTATTTTTAGTAGAGACTGGGTTTCACCATGTTCACCAGACTAGTCTTGAACTCCTGACCTCAAGTGATCCGCCTGCCTCTGCCTCACAAAGTGCCGGGATTACAGGCATGAGCCACCGCGCCCGGCCGGGTGCTCTTTATTCCCCACCTCTAGCCCCATCCTATGAATTCTTCTTTATGTCCGCTTGTCACCACCACCCAGACTACTCTGACAGCCTCCCCAGTGGATTTCCCACTATGCTTATTCCCTCCGATTCTTGCTGTACTCTGAAGCCAGAGTGAAACTTTAAAGTGTGAAAGTGATCATACCAATAAAGTCCCCATTCCTTAACCTTGCTACAAGGCCCTCACTCCAGCCTTACCTTGCACCATTCTCCCCTCAGTCTGTAAGCTTAGCCATACCAAACCTTTCCCTGTCTCTCAGTGTGTGTGCTTTCTCACAGCTGGGCCTGTGCACAGCACTGGAATTACACCATGTGTCTGACTAACTTCTCATACTCCTCATTACTTCAGTTATTTGCTTAAATGCCATCTTCTTAGAGAGGCCGCCACCAGAGATGAAGCCAGCCTCTCCCCCACCACCAAGTAGGCTTTACCTTTTCTTTTGGAACCTTCAGTACACCTGGAATTACCTATTTAAAAATCTCTCTTCCTATAGCCTGCAAGCTCCAGAGGAGACCACATTTGTCTTGTTCATTGCTATAATCCCCTACGCTAGCACAATATCTGACACATGGTAGCTGTCTAGTAGATACTTAGTGGATGAATGAATAGAGATGGGAATTATTATTTCTGCAGGAGTTGTGAGACAGTACAAATATTTAAGGAGTGATAGTTAAGCTAGAAAAATAATAAAATAGGATAGAGGCTACAGAGATCTTTGCAGGGGGGATCAGACTGCTTTGGAATTTGCAGATAAGCATTCACGATGTCCGCTTAACTTTCTAGACAAAGTGGTGAAGAAAGGGAAGAAGGACAAGAAGATCAAAAAAACGGTGAGAAAATGAGGGTTGAGGATAAGAAATGACTATGGATGTTTCCAAGCTAAATAAATAGCCATGTGAAGGAGGTGGGAGGTCCAAGGGAGGAGAAAAGATCTTGTCAAGAGAGGAGATAGGCAGGGCACGGTGGCTTACACCTGTAATCCCAGCGCTTAGGGAGGCAGAGGTGGGAGGATAGCTTAAGCCCAGGAATTTGAGACCTGCACACTCCATTCTCCACAAAAAGAAAAAAAAGAGAGAGACAGGAGGTAAGGTGAGGGTGGAGTGGAGGGCCAGTGGGCCAATGTGTGGCAGAGCACAGCCTGCTTGGATTGCTCTTGGAAACATGTTTACCTGTAGCTTAACTCCCTTTATAGTTCTTTGAAGAGCTGGCAGTAGAAGATAAACAGGCTGGGGAAGAAGAGAAAGTGCTCAAGGAGAAGGAGCAGCAGCAGCAGCAACAGCAACAGCAGGTACAAGTGCCACAGGGCCCACCAATCCTGGGAGGCATCTGGGTTCCACCAACCCCTTTCCAGCCCATGTTGCTCCATTCAGCTGATGGGGAACCCTCTGTGAGGCAGAAATACAGCAGGGGCCTGGGCTTCATTTTCTCACTGTTCTTTTGCTCTCAGCAGCAAAAAAAAAAGCGAGATACCCGAAAAGGCAGGCGGAAGAAGGATGTGGATGATGATGGAGAAGAGAAAGAGCTCATGGAGCGTCTTAAGAAGCTCTCAGTGCCAACCAGTGATGAGGAGGATGAAGGTAAATGACCTGAGGGGGAATGGGTACCTGGAATCCATGAGTCATGGAGAGTGATACCTCATACCCTGATCTTCAAGTTGGATTCAATTGGGGGGCCAGACATTGTAATTCTTTCCTATCTCATGTTCTCCCCCTGTCATTTCAGTACCCGCCCCAAAACCCCGCGGAGGGAAGAAAACCAAGGTAAGCCATCTGTGTGGTAAACGGAGACTCCAAGGATGCAACCTTGACCATCCTACTGACTTCTGTGGCCCTTTCATTCTCTAGGGTGGTAATGTTTTTGCAGCCCTGATTCAGGATCAGAGTGAGGAAGAGGAGGAGGAAGAAAAACATCCTCCTAAGCCTGCCAAGCCGGAGAAGAATCGGATCAATAAGGTGACAGTGGTGGCTCGATCAGTCACTCTCACTCCATTTAGCACCTTCTGGCCATGGTGGAGTAATTTCCCGCTTTTAAACTAGCTCTTCTCGGTCTGTCTTACTTATACTGTTAAAATCATCTTTTTAGAATACATGCCCAGGCTGGGCACAGTGGGTCACGCCTGTAATCCCAGCACTTTGGGAGGCCGAGGTGGGCGAATCACGAGGTCAAGAGATCGAGACCAGCCTGACCAACATGGCGAAACCTCATCTCTACTAAAAATACAAAAATTAGCCAGGCGTGGTGGCGTGCGCCTGTAATCCCAGCTACTTGGAAGGCTGAGGCAGGAGAATCACTTGAACTTGGGAGGTGGAATTTGCAGTGAGCTGAGATTGAGGCACTGCACTCCAGCCTGGGCAACAGAGCAAGACTCAGTCTCAAAAAAAAAACAACAAAAAAAACCATGCCATTTTTATCACTCAGAAATCTACAGTGATTCTGTTGCTTTAAGCACAGAACCTGAAACAAAGCCCCAGGTCCTTGCTCTTCTACTTGTGACTCTTCTGCGTGTGCATCTTAGTCCATGTCCATTTGAGCTCTTGAGAAAGCCTCCAGTGCTAGTGCCACTCACTCTGGTGGCGCACTTGCCTGACTTATAATCCTTAGCCTTGCTGACGTTCCCTAGTTATCTCTTCGCTATCTAGTCTGAAGCTGGAGGGTAGGGTTTTTCTGGGTCTCATTTTTCGTCAGCAGCACTCAATACAGATGGTCTCCAACTTCTGCTTCGGTGTACGATTTTTCTACTTTATGATGGTGTGAAAGTCATACTCATTTAGGGTACTCCTCAACTCATGATGGGATTATATCCAGATAAACCCATCATAAGTTGGAACTATTTTTTTTTTTTTTTTTTTTTTGAGACGGAGTCTCACTCTGTTGCCAGGCTGGAGTGCAGTGGCGTAATCCTGGCTCACTGCAACCTCCGCCTCCCGGGTTCAAGTGATTCTCCTGCCTCAGCTTCCTGAGTAGCTGAGATTACAGGCACGTGCCACCACGCCCAGCTAATTTTTGTGTTTTTAGTAGAGACAGGGTTTCACCATGTTGACCAGGATGGTCTCGATCTCTTGACCTTGTGATCCACCTGCCTTGGCCTCCCAAAGTGCTGGGATTACAGGTGTGAGCCACCACGCCCGGCCAAGAACTATCATTTTTTATTTAAGTTTCTGGTGGGTTTATCGGGATGCAACCTGTCGTAAATGGAGGAGCATGTGTATGGTTAACACAGTAGACTCTCTAGAAATGCTTATTACACAGCAAAGTAGCACAATAATTTGTATGTATGTGTGTAATGTGTATGTGTGTCTCCTCCAGGCCGTATCTGAGGAACAGCAGCCTGCACTCAAGGGCAAAAAGGGAAAGGAAGAGAAGTCAAAAGGGAAGGCTAAGGTGAGAGAGTAACTAGCAGGAGGAGGTATTGGGGCCCAGGAATTAAAACATTTCATCAGGGCTGGGCGCGGTGGCTCACGCCTGTAATCCCAGCACTTTGGGAGGCCGAGGTGGGCGGATCACGAGGTCAGGAGATCGAGACCATCCTGGTAACACGGTAAAACCCCGTCTCTACTAAAAATACAAAAAAAATTAGCCGGGCGTGGTGGCGGGCGCCTGTAGTCCCAGCTACTCGGGAGGCTGAGGCAGGAGAATGGCGTGAACCCGGGAGGTGGAGCTTGCAGTGAGCCGAGATTGCGCCACTGCACTCCAGCCTGGGTGACAGAGCGAGACTCCGTCTCAAAAAAAAAAAAAGAAAAAAAAAAAAACATTTCATCAGACCTGTCTTTTCCCTATTAGCCTCAAAATAAATTCGCTGCTCTGGACAATGAAGAGGAGGATAAAGAAGAAGAAATTATAAAGGAAAAGGAGCCTCCCAAACAAGGGAAGGAGAAGGCCAAGAAGGCAGAGCAGGTGTGTATTTGGTGTTGGGGCAAGGTGGAATGAGGGACTAGGGCTTCCAGGGTCCTTATGGGAGAGTTAGAATCTGGGGATATAGTTATTATCCCAGCAAACCTTTATTCTTTTCTTTTTTTGGGGGAGTAGTTGGGGTGGTGGTTCGTTTGTTTTTGTTTTTGTTTTTGTTTACACAGGATCTTACTCTGTCACTCAGGCTGGAGTGCAGTGGTGTGAACACGGCTCACTGAAGCCTCAACCTCCTGGGCTCAACAGATTCTCCTGCCTCAGCCTACTGAGTAGCTGGGACTACAAGTGTGCACCACTACCCCTGGCTAATTTTTTTATTTTTAGTATAGAGATGAGGTCTCACTATGTTGCTCAGGCTGGTCTTGAACTTCTGGGCTCAAGCAGTCCTCCTGCCTCAGCCTCCCAAAATGCTGGGTTTACAGGTGTGAGCCAGCATGCCAGCCAGCAAACTTTTTCTATAAAGGGCCATATAGTAAATGTTTTTGGCTTTGCAGGCCACATACAATCTCTATCACATATTCTTTTTTTTTTTTAACAACTCTTTGAAAATACAAAAATTATTTTTATAAAGTTCAGGAGCTATATAAAAATAAATGTCAGGTCAGCCTTGGCCCATGGGCTGTAGTTTGCAACACCTAATCCAGTGAAGAAAGGGCCTGGAATTTATCTCAGATGATCTGGGTCCTGGCTCTGCCTTCACTGGCTGTGTGACCTTGAATACATCTTCCCATCCCCTTGGGTCTCACTTGTCTCCTTTGTGTGATAGAAGGAGGAGTCCGGAGATCTCTAGGGTCCCTATGCGTCTGGCACTTCCTAATTCTGTGATTCTGCTGGATTCCTCTGACTGTGCACTAGAGCTTCCTGATCTTTTTTTTTTTTTTTTTTTTTTTTGAGATGGAGTCTCACTCCGTTGCCCAGGCTGGAGTGCGGTGGCGCAATCTCAGCTCACTGCAACCTCTGCCTCCCGGGTTCAAGCAATTCTTCTGCCTCAGTCTCCCGAGTAGCTGGGACTACAGGCACGTGCCACCATGACCGGCTGATTTTTTGTGTTTTTAGTAGAGACAGGATTTCACCATGTTAGCCAGGATGGTCTTGATCTCCTGACCTTGTGATCTGTCCATCTTGGCCTCCCAAAGTGCTGGGATTACAGACATGAGCCACCGTGCCCGGACGGCTACCTGATCTTTTCTTTGCATGTTAACAAGGAAACCACAGAAACTCATTTTATACAAATGAAACTCTTGAAATCCATTTACTCCACCTTCAGTTACATTGTATTGGGAGTTACATTTATAGGGACATAACGCGTTGTCACATTTCATAAATACACATTCATACCATTTGTCTTGTACCATTCCTGGTAGCAGAAATTAATAAAGGACCTCAGGGAGACCAGGGGCTGGGTATGAGAATGAGAGAGGATCCCAAGATATTTTAGGACTCTGAGTAGTGAAGGAAAGAGCTGGGGCAGGGACAGGGGGCAGATGATGTGAAATCTGAGTTCTAGAAGGAGTCCCTAGTTTTTTTTTGTTGTTTTTTTTTTTGAGACGGAGTCTTGCTTTGTCACCCAGGCTGGAGTGCAGTGGCACGATCTCGGCTCACTGCAAGCTCCTCCTCCCAGGTTCACACCATTCTCCTGCCTCAGCCTCCCGAGTAGCTGGGACTACAGGCGCCCGCCACCACGTCCGGCTAATTTTTTGTATTTTTAGTAGAGATGGGGTTTCACCATGTTAGCCAGGATGGTCTTGATCTCCTGACCTTGGGATCTGCCCGCTTTGGCTTCCCAAAGTGCTGGGATTACAGGCGTGAGCCACCGCGCCCAGCCAGGAGTCCCTAGTTTTGACCATCCCCGGGTTCTCACAGGGTTCAGAGGAAGAAGGAGAAGGGGAAGAAGAGGAGGAGGAAGGAGGAGAGTCTAAGGCAGATGATCCCTATGCTCATCTTAGCAAAAAGGAGAAGAAAAAGCTGAAAAAACAGGTAAGACCTTGGTTCTTAGCGGTCAAAAGTAGGGGATTTTTAAATACTTCAACTAGGGGACATGCGATTGGGGACACGAAGGAAAGGTTTGGGGGCTACTCCAAGTAAAACAATCGGAGTAAGAAAATAATTGTGTTCTGTGAACCTTATCTCAATGTCTGATGACATGGGCTGTTTCACTTTGGGGTTTTTTGTTTATTTTTTGAGACAGGGTCTCACACTGTTACTCAGGCTGGAGTGCAATGACGTGATCTCTGTTCACTGCAGCCTCAACCTACCAGGCTCAAGTGATCCTCCCACCTCAGCCTCCCGAATAGCTGAGACTATGGGTGGCACCACCATGCCTGGCTAATTTTTGTATTTTTTGTAGAGACAGTATTTTAGCATGTTGGCCAGGCTGGTCTCAAACTCCTGAGCTCAAGAGATCCACCTACCTCAGCCTCCCAGAGTGCTGGGATTACAGGCGTGAGCCAGCATGCCCAGCCAGCATGGGCTGTTTCATGGTGATGGGAAACTGGTAGACTGTGGCTTCAAATGTAGTTTTTCCTACCTTCTCAGATGGAGTATGAGCGCCAAGTGGCTTCATTAAAAGCAGCCAATGCAGCTGAAAATGACTTCTCCGTGTCCCAGGCGGAGATGTCCTCCCGCCAAGCCATGTTAGAAAATGCATCTGACATCAAGGTAAGGTCTCAAGGGGCCCCTTCCAGTCCACTTACCTAGGGAAGAGCCAGTTCTCTCATCTTCCCTGAGTGGCTGTGGTGTGTGAATGGGTTAGTTCAGTGGGAAGAAAGATTGGAGGCATTTTCCACACCTTAGGTTCTGCCAACTTGAGCAAGAAGATAGAAAAACCAGTAGAAGTGGGGTCCACCCTTGGCAGAAAATAGTGTGGGACAGACTAGACTAGCTGAGGATGCATGGGGCTCCCATTACAGGCAGCGAACAGGGCGGGGACCGGCTGTGGGGAGAGGAAGGGGATTATGCTGGAGGTAGCGGTTTGTCAGGGGCTTCCCTGCAGGGAGAAAGTGGCCGCTCCTGTCCCAAAGGGAGAATTTTCATGTGATCATCCCTTCCCTCTGCCACCTCTTTCCTGATGGCTGCAGCTGGAGAAGTTCAGCATCTCCGCTCATGGCAAGGAGCTGTTCGTCAATGCAGACCTGTACATTGTAGCCGGCCGCCGCTACGGGCTGGTAGGACCCAATGGGTGAGAAGAGGAGGGAGCTGGAGGCAAAAAAGGGCCTGGAGGGAAAAGAAGAGATTTCTCAGTGGTGGCCAGGTCCTAATAGCTTTTATTCCCCAGCAAGGGCAAGACCACACTCCTCAAGCACATTGCCAACCGAGCCCTGAGCATCCCTCCCAACATTGATGTGTTGCTGTGTGAGCAGGGTGAGACCACTGGGGAGAAAAGGGGCTTGGTGGGGTGGGCAGTTGGGTAGAAAAGCCAGCCAGCCAAGAATAGAAGAAATTGTGGCTATGGAGTTGGAAGGGATGTGGAGGGAGACTGGAGACCGGGAAAGGGATGCTAAGGAAAGGAGGGGAGGGTCAATGAGGAACTTGAGAGTGTTTTATTTGGAACAAGTACAAAGAGCTGGGCAGGGTCAGGCAAAACAGAAATGTAATTGAAGGGAAAGAAAGATGAGACTCTTGGCTCTTGAGGCTGCCTGACTGTTCTCCCTCTGCCTCCCAGAGGTGGTAGCAGATGAGACACCAGCAGTCCAGGCTGTTCTTCGAGCTGACACCAAGCGATTGAAGCTGCTGGAAGAGGAGCGGCGGCTTCAGGGACAGCTGGAACAAGGGGATGACACAGCTGCTGAGAGGCTAGAGAAGGTAGAGGAGATGGCGCAGGGGACACGGGCAAAGACTTGGGGGTTCCTGGGACCCTCAGACGTGTGTCCTCTTCTCCCTCCTCCCAGGTGTATGAGGAATTGCGGGCCACTGGGGCGGCAGCTGCAGAGGCCAAAGCACGGCGGATCCTGGCTGGCCTGGGCTTTGACCCTGAAATGCAGAATCGACCCACACAGAAGTTCTCAGGGGGCTGGCGCATGCGTGTCTCCCTGGCCAGGTGGGCCATTCACCTCACTGCCCTCCCTTCCAGCCTCAGACCACCGGGGCCCTTTTCCTCTTTCCCTTCTCATTCTTCCAAGGCCAATAGGGAGGCTCAAGGCTTACCTCTCCCTCCTTACTATCTGTGTTGTGAGAACTTAGGGTCTTTCTCTATTTCTCTCCCTACTTGGTGGTGAGTTCTCATCAACATACCCTGCAGCTGGGTGCAATGGGTCACGCCTGTAATCCCAGCACTTTGGAAGGCAGAGGCAGGAGGATTATCTTGAACCCAGGAGTTTGAGACCAGCCTGGGCAATATAGTGAGACTCTATCTTCACAAAAGGGGGAAGAAAACATATCCTAGCCTGGGCAACATAGGGAGACCCTGTCTCTACAAAAAATTTAAAGATCAGCTGGATATGGTGGCGCACGCTGTGGTCACAGCTACTCTGGAGGCTGAAGTAGAAGTATCACTTAGACCTGGGAGATTTAGACTACAGTGAGCCCTTATTGTGCCACTGCACGACAGCCTGGGCAACAGGGCGAGACCCTGTCTCAAAAAAATTAAACCGTATCCTGCCCGAGAACTTCTCTGAGGAGAGCTTGGGAAGGCGTGTTCATGGTCTCAGGCTCTATCTCCGAGTTTTCTCTGGGGTTGTCTGAGCAAGGATCTTTCTCTCCCTGACCCTGCCCTCTGCTACCCACCCTCTAGGGCACTGTTCATGGAGCCCACACTGCTGATGCTGGATGAGCCCACCAACCACCTGGACCTCAACGCTGTCATCTGGCTTAATAAGTGCGTTACGGCCTTTGCATCATTGGTTCCCATTCTGCACTTTCTTCCCCTTCCCTCCCTGCCCTGTTTTCCTTTAGCCCTTCTCCACTGTGCCTGTGAGTGGAGCTCTATTCAGACCCCCCTTTCCCTCCCAGCCCCCGTTGTCTGCCTGCTTCCTCTGAATTCTCTCTCACTTGACCACTGTGACACTTACACCCTGTTCTCTGAAACCCAGCTACCTCCAGGGCTGGCGGAAGACCTTGCTGATCGTCTCCCATGACCAGGGCTTCTTGGATGATGTCTGCACTGATATCATCCACCTCGATGCCCAGCGGCTCCACTACTATAGGGGCAATTACAGTAAGTAGGATTGTGTGTGGATGCAGGGAAGAGATAGAACCTCGAAAAGAGGCCTGAGTGGGAGGGCCTATTTAGATAAACTGAATCCTGTCAGAATTCCAGACAGTGATGCCTACCCCATCACCACCAGTCCCTGGTTGTCCCTTTGCTGGGAAGAGGAGCAACCACTGATGCCTGGTCCCCTCTTCTGCCCCAGTGACCTTCAAAAAGATGTACCAGCAGAAGCAGAAAGAACTGCTGAAACAGTATGAGAAGCAAGAGAAAAAGCTGAAGGAGCTGAAGGCAGGCGGGAAGTCCACCAAGCAGGCGGTGAGCACCTGAGGGACTTCTGGGCTGGGGGCCACTGTTCTCTCCTGGCAGTGGAGGAAGAAGGAGACTCTGGAACGCTGGCCTACATTTCAAGGACTGCCGTGCAGGGCTCAGGTTTCTCTTTTTTCCTCTTCCTCTCCAGGAAAAACAAACGAAGGAAGCCCTGACTCGGAAGCAGCAGAAATGCCGACGGAAAAACCAAGATGAGGAATCCCAGGAGGCCCCTGAGCTCCTGAAGCGCCCTAAGGAGTACACTGTGCGCTTCACTTTTCCAGACCCCCCACCACTCAGCCCTCCAGTGCTGGGTCTGCATGGTGAGTGCCGCGGGCCTCTGCTGCTCCACAGGAAGCACCGGAAGCATGTATGTGCACCCTA
This sequence comes from Homo sapiens, assembly GCF_000001405.40. Taxonomy (NCBI): domain Eukaryota; kingdom Metazoa; phylum Chordata; class Mammalia; order Primates; family Hominidae; genus Homo; species Homo sapiens. Next base: position 1,887,128 of record NT_167249.2, read on the forward strand.
AATTCTCCACCAAGGCTGAGATTGCTCCTGTTCTCCAAGGCCAGCACATGAGAGGGACTTTGCAGGGACTGAAAAGAATATAAATTGCTTCTTTTCGTGGCTTTCAGGTGTGACATTCGGCTACCAGGGACAGAAACCACTCTTTAAGAACTTGGATTTTGGCATCGACATGGATTCAAGGAGTGAGTTGGCGGGGTTGCCTCAGGGATGTGTAGCAGGAGCCACAGGGAGAGTCTCTGGGGACCTCTTTGACCACCTGTCTTCCATCTTGCAGTTTGCATTGTGGGCCCTAATGGTGTGGGGAAGAGTACGCTACTCCTGCTGCTGACTGGCAAGCTGACACCGGTGAGTCCTGGAGCCAAGGAGGGAGAGCATGAGAAATGTGAAGACACAGCTGCTTTTGCCAGAAGCTGGAATCAGGGAGCCTCTCGAGAATGTAGAGTTAAATACAGAACTCATGATAGATGATTCATTTCCCTAAGAGGGGCAGTAGAGGAGGAAAGAGCTTAGATCAGTTCAGGGGGGAGAGCTAAGAGAATTAAGATAGAACTAGGGGGCACACCCACGTGTTTTGGTTATACAAGAAATATATGTCTTTTATAGAACGATTAAAAATTGCATAAACGGGCCAGGCACAGTAGCTCACTCCTATAATCCCAGCAGGGATCACCTAAGGTCAAGAGTTCCAGACCAGCCTAGCCAACATAGTGAACCCCGCCTCTACTAAAAATACAAAAATTAGCCGTGTGCGGTGGCGCGCACCTATATCCTAGCTACTCAGGAGGCTGAGGCAGAATTGCTGGAACCTGGGAGGCGGGGGTTGCAGTGAGCTGAGATTGCACCATTGCACTCCAGCCTGGGCAACAGAGCGAGACTCCATCTCAAAAAAAAAAAAAAAATTGGCCTGGCGTGGTGGCTCACGCCTATAATCCCAACTCTTTGGGGGAGGCTGAGGCAGGCAGATCACTTGAGCTTAGGAGTTAAAAACCAGCCTGAGCCCACTGTGGTGGCTCACACCTGTAATCCCAACACTTTGGGAAGCCGAGGTGGGAGATCACCTGAGGTCAGGAGTTTGAGACCAACATGAAGAAACCCCATCTCTACTAAAAATACAAAATTAGCCAGACGTGGTTGCACATGCCTGTAATCCCAGCTATTTTGGGAGGCTGAGGCAGGAGAATCACTTGAACCCAGGAGGCAGAGGTTGCAGTGAGCTGAGATTGCGCTATTGCACTCCAGCCTGGGCAACAAGAGCAAAACTCCGTCTAAAAAAAAAAAACAGACCAGCCTGAGCAACATGGTGAAATCCCATCTCTACTAAAAATACAAAAATTAGCTGGGTATGTTGGTGCACGACTGTAGTCCCAGCTACTCGGGAGGCTGAGGTAGGAGAATTGCTTGAGTCCAGGGGGCAGAGGTTCCAGTTAGCCGAGGTCGTGCCACTGCACTCCAGTCTAAGTGACAGAGTGAGGCTCTGTCAAAAAAAAAAAAAAAATGCTTAAGAGAAAAATCTGGAGATAACCAGTTTTTTTTTTTTGTTATTTTGTTTTGAGACGGAGTCTCACTGTCGCCCAGCCTGGAGTGCAGTGGTGCGATCTTGGCCCACTGCAACCTCCACCTCCCAGGTTCAAGATATTCTCCTGCCTCAGCCTCCTGAATAGCTGGGATTATAGGTACGCCCCACCATGCCCAGCTACTTTTTGTATTTTTAGTAGAGACAGGGTTTCACCATGTTGGTCAGGCTGGTCTCGAACTCCTGACCTTGTGATCCGCCCGCCTCAGCCTCCCAAAGTGCTGGGATTACAGGCGTGAGCCACCGCTCCCAGCTGAGATAACCAGTATTAATGTTTTAGTGGATATCTTTCTCCTTTTTTCTTTGCAAATGTGCATATAATTTTTAACAAAAATGGGCTGTCATATGAGTTGTTGTGTAGCTAGATTTTTCCAAATATATCAAGCATTTTTCCATGCAATTACTTATTTCATATGAGTCTACCTTTTTTTTTTGAGACAGAGTCTCACTCTGTCACCCAGGCTGGAGTGCAGTGGCACAGTCTTGGCTCACTGCAACCTCCGTCTCCTGGGTTCACGCGATTCTCCTGCCTTAGCCTCCCGAGTAGCTGGGACAACAGGCGCGTGCTACCACGCCCAGCTAATTTTTTGTATTTTTAGTAGAGATGGTTTCACCGTGTTAGCCAGGATGGTCTTGATCTCCTGACCTCATGATCTGCCTGCGTCGGCCTCCCAGAGTGCTGGGATTACAGGTGTGAGCCACCACGCCCGGCAAACTCTACCATTTTATTTGAACTTTTGTAATATATTGCCATCTAGTGTGTTAGAAAGTTTGTAGCCATTTCTGCTCTCTCTAGCAGTGTTGAGAGGCCATTTTCTCATATCCAGAGATTAGATCTTTAGAAAGGTATTATTAGATTCTCCCCAAAACACTAAACTTGCCACATGAGGCCCTTACGATGTACCATTCGTGAGTCTCGCTGTATGGAGAGCAGGTGTTCTTTGGCTGTGGTTAGTCCCTCCTGCTTGTCCCTCTTGTCCTCCATTTTGCTTAACTCCCCTTTTGTCCCTTAACTCTTTTACTTTGCTCACCATGCCTTTGTCATATTAGGGGAACATCCCTGTTCCTTTTCTTTTTTGAGACAAAGTCTTCCCCTGTCCCCGAGGGTGGAGTGCAGTGGTGCGATCTCAGCAACTTCCACCTCCTGGGTTAAAACCATTCTTGTGCCTCAGCCTCCTGAGTAGCTGGGATTATAGGCATGTCCCACTATGCCCAGCTAATTATTGTATTTTTAGTAGAGACAGGGTTTCACAATGTTGGCCAGCCTGGTCTCAAACTCCTGACCTTAAGTGCCTCCTGACCTGCCTTCCTTGGCCTCCCAAAGTGCTGAGATTACAGGCATGAGCCACCGTGCCCAGCCCCTATTCCTTTTCTTATGCATACTTGTCCCTGGCCCATTTCTGGTGTTTGTCTCTCCTTCAGAAAAGTTGGTGTATGGACGAGGTCAGGAGATCGAGACCATCCTGGCTAACATGGTGAAATCCCGTCTCTACTAAAAATACAAAAAATTAGCCGGGTGTGGTGGCAGGCACCTGTATTCCCAGCTACTGGGGAGGCTGAGGCAGGAGAATGGCGTGAACCCGGAAGGTGGAGGTTGCAGTGAGCCGAGATCGCGCCACTGCACTCCAGCCTGGGGGACAGAGCGAGACTCCGTCTCAAAAAAAAAAAAAAAAAGTTGATGTATGGAGCTGCAGCACCTTTTTCCCTTGCCCTCCTCTTAACTACTTTGTCTTCCCTTGCAGACCCATGGGGAAATGAGAAAGAACCACCGGCTGGTAAGTTGGCATTGGGATTTAGGGAATGATAATCTGATGGAGGAAGTGTGACTTTAACCGACCACCTCCCTCTCTTCTCGGGCAGAAAATTGGCTTCTTCAACCAGCAGTATGCAGAGCAGCTGCGCATGGAGGAGACGCCCACTGAGTACCTGCAGCGGGGCTTCAACCTGCCCTACCAGGATGCCCGCAAGTGCCTGGGCCGCTTCGGCCTGGAGAGTCACGCCCACACCATCCAGATCTGCAAACTCTCTGGTACCACTTCAGGGGCCAGGGAGGGTGCCCTTCACCTTATCATTCATGTCTACAAACTGTACCTAGAGGAACCGAGAATGAGGGAGCCTCAGCTCACAAACTGGCACATCTTGAGGGTTTGCCTTCAGAATGTGAGGTGCTAGGTGTGACAGCCCTCCCCTTCCTTTGCTACAGGTGGTCAGAAGGCGCGAGTTGTGTTTGCTGAGCTGGCCTGTCGGGAACCTGATGTCCTCATCTTGGTGAGTGAGCTGGGCTGTGGGAAAAGGGATAAGGGTAACAGTAATGGAAGACGGGAGTTGCAGTGCTCAGTCATGGAATTCCTCCTATGTAGGACGAGCCAACCAATAACCTGGACATAGAGTCTATTGATGCTCTAGGGGAGGCCATCAATGAATACAAGGGTGGTAAGTCAGCTGAGAGTGTGCCCTCATCCCTGCTCCATGGGGACCAAGCTGTAGTGTCCTTCACTACAGAAGGGCCTAGGACTCCCTTATTTCATGTTCTGATTCCCCTCTTTCTCCTTTCTTCCTGCCCTCTGTTGTTGCTATCTTTCTTCAAAGCTGTGATCGTTGTCAGCCATGATGCCCGACTCATCACAGAAACCAATTGCCAGCTGTGGGTGGTGGAGGAGCAGAGTGTTAGCCAAATCGATGGTGACTTTGAAGACTACAAGCGGGAGGTGTTGGAGGCCCTGGGTGAAGTCATGGTCAGCCGGCCCCGAGAGTGAAGCTTTCCTTCCCAGAAGTCTCCCGAGAGACATATTTGTGTGGCCTAGAAGTCCTCTGTGGTCTCCCCTCCTCTGAAGACTGCCTCTGGCCTGCAGCTGACCTGGCAACCATTCAGGCACATGAAGGTGGAGTGTGACCTTGATGTGACCGGGATCCCACTCTGATTGCATCCATTTCTCTGAAAGACTTGTTTGTTCTGCTTCTCTTCATATAACTGAGCTGGCCTTATCCTTGGCATCCCCCTAAACAAACAAGAGGTGACCACCTTATTGTGAGGTTCCATCCAGCCAAGTTTATGTGGCCTATTGTCTCAGGACTCTCATCACTCAGAAGCCTGCCTCTGATTTACCCTACAGCTTCAGGCCCAGCTGCCCCCCAGTCTTTGGGTGGTGCTGTTCTTTTCTGGTGGATTTAATGCTGACTCACTGGTACAAACAGCTGTTGAAGCTCAGAGCTGGAGGTGAGCTTCTGAGGCCTTTGCCATTATCCAGCCCAAGATTTGGTGCCTGCAGCCTCTTGTCTGGTTGAGGACTTGGGGCAGGAAAGGAATGCTGCTGAACTTGAATTTCCCTTTACAAGGGGAAGAAATAAAGGAAAGGAGTTGCTGCCGACCTGTCACTGTTTGGAGATTGATGGGAGTTGGAACTGTTCTCAGTCTTGATTTGCTTTATTCAGTTTTCTAGCAGCTTTTAATAGTCCCCTCTTCCCCACTAAATGGATCTTGTTTGCAGTCTTGCTGACAGTGTTTGCTGTTTAAGGATCATAGGATTCCTTTCCCCCAACCCTTCACGCAAGGAAAAAGCAAAGTGATTCATACCTTCTATCTTGGAACATGGGTCTCTTTCCTTTTTTTTTTTTTTTTTTTTTTTTGACAGAATCTTGCCCTTTCACTCAGGCTGGAGTGCAGTGGCATGATCTTGGCTCACTGCAGCCTCCACCTCCTGGGTTCAAGCAATTTTCCTGCCTCAGCCTCCCGAGTAGCTGGGATTACAGGCACACACCACCAGGCCCAGCTAATTTTAGTGTTTTTAATAGAGACAGGGTTTTACCATGTTGGTCAGGCTGGTCTCGAACTCTTGACCTCAAGTAATTCACCTACCTTGACTTCCTAAAGTGCTGGGATTATAGGGATGAGCCACTGTGCCCAACTTCTTTTTTTTTCTCTTTTCTGAGACAGGGTCTTGCTGTGTTGCCCAGGCTAGAGTGCACTGTACCCTCAACCTCCTGGGCTCAAGCAATCCTTCCACCTCAGCCTCCTGAGTAGCTGGGACTACAGGCATGTGCCGCCACACTCAACTAATTTTTTTTTTTTTAATTTTTAGTAGAGACAGTGTCTTGCTATGTTGCTTAAGGCTGGTCCTGAACTCCTGACCTCAGGCAGTCTTCCTACCTCGACCTCCCAAAGTGCTGGGGTGCTGGGATTATAGACGTGAGCCACGACGCCTAGCCAGAATTTGGGTCTCATTGTCCAAGTTAATCTCATGAATGAGGAGGTGCTCTGCCCTGTGGCCAGGGACCAGGGTATTGATTCTCTCAAAAATTATTAAATCATCTAGCCAAAATGTACGGTACTGTGGGGTATATAAGAAGGGAAGAGACAAGATCTGCCTTCATTAATAGTCTGGTTAGAGAAGACTTAAAAGTAAGCATGAATAGATAATTAATTTGATCAATTGTCTAATATGTCGTACTCTAGATTCTAAGTTGCCACATACTCAAAAAAGGGAAAGATTATCCAGGGCCTGATTATTTGACAGGGTCACTTGAGGGTAGATCTTGAAAAATGATGATTTGACTAATCAGGGACCAGGGAGCCATTTTTCAGAAGTAGGAAAAGAGCAGATCTCAGGCTTGGGGGGAAGAACAAGCTACTTGGGAGTTAATGGATGATAGCTGCTGTGGCCATTTTTCTTAAGAGTTAGACTGGGGAGATGGGTTTGGAAAGTAAAATGCAAATGGTGGGTAGTGGTATTAGGTGGTGATGTGCAAGGCGTGCTGTAGAAACCTGCAGGGTGAAGCCCATAACTTTTGTTACGGGAATGGGGTAACTGAATCCTAAACTAGCTAGGGGAGATAGGGATGGAAAGAGCAGATGTGGAGGTTGGGGAGAAGGGAGTGACAGGAGATATATCCAGTTCCAGAGGGAATAGGGAGAGCTGTGTGGCTAAGATTTAACTGTTTGGACATTTAATTTGGGGAAATTGTTTTCCAGCCAAGTGAATAAATAATACTGGACTTCAAGTACAAGCTTCATACAGGAAGTGAAGTTTTGGTGTGGAGATAGCTGCATAGTCAGGGAACACTCTAAATTAAAAATAAGGAGGCCGGGCATGGTGGCTCATGCCTGTAATCCCAGCACTTTGGGAGGCGGGCAGATCATGAGATCAGGAGTTCGAGAGCACCCTGACCAACATATTGAAACCCCATCTCCACTAAAAATACAAAAAAATTAGCCGAGCGTGGTGGTGCACACCTGTAGTCCCAGCTACTCAGGAGGCTGAGGCAGGAGAATTGCTTGAACCCGGGAGGCAGTGGTTGCAGTGAGCCGAGGTTGCGCCACTGCACTCCAGCCTGAGCAACAGAGCGAGACTCTGTCTCAAACAAAAACCAAAAGACATCAGGAAACATGCCTCTTATGGAATTTGAGGGGGAAAAGTCAGGGTCTTGGCAGTGACCTTGGACAAGCCATTAGCCTCTTGATACCTCTTTTCTCATCTGTAAAATGAAGGTGGTAGTTACCTACTTCACAGGGTTATTAGGGGATTCAATGTGTAATAATACGTAAAGTGCCTTAAATTCTGTTGCTTTTGTTATATGTATTTCATATTATATATATATATATATTTTTTTTTTTTTTTTTTTGAGATGGAGTCTTACTCTGTTGCCAGGCTGGAGTGCTGTGGCGTGATCTTGGCTCACTGCAACCTCTGCCTCCTGGGTTCAAGTAATTCTGCTGTCTCACCCTCCCAAGTAGCTGAGATTACAGGCACGTGCCACCACGCCCGGCTAAGTTTTGTACTTTTGGTAGAGATCAGGTTTTGCCATGTTGGCCAGTCTGGTCTCAAACTCCTGACCTCAGGTGATCTGCCCACTTCGGCCTCCCAAAGTGCTGGGATTACAGGCGTGAGCCACCGCACCTGGCCTATACTTTTGCATTTTTAAGTTTTTACTTCGCTAGTCTAGTTGAGATGATACATAAAATATATAGGAATGTTATTTATAAAGTGAATACCAGCTTGCATTTCAAATATTTGGTCACTAATTTCACTACTTCAAACATAAGTGAGAAAAGTACTTTAAGTACTCCAAAATAACTTTCCGCCACAGGCATAAATTTCATTTCTCTCTCTGTTCTTTTTTTTTTTTTTTTTTTTTAAAGATGAGGCCTTGCTATATTGCCCAGGCTGGTCCCAAACTCCTGGCCTCAAGCAGTCCTTTCTCCTAGGCTCCCCAAAGTGCTGGGATTACAGGAATGAGCCACGGCACCTGGCCACAAACTTTATCTCCTCCCGTGTATGTTTTAACTTCTGTGATCCCTGTAGCCAATCATATGTGCTGTTAATGGAATTAATAATTCACCTAAATGTGGGCAAAAGTATGCCCTCCAAAAAGCAGCATAGAAATGGAACACGAAAGGGAAACATTTCCATGGTAGCGCATGGAAATTTCATTAACCAAATTAAATTGTTTTATTTATAAACAGCTTATTACCTACAAGTGATGCACATATGTGGTACACAGTAAACATCGTAGAAATGTGTTTTTTGTTGTTTTGAGATGTGGTCTCCCTCTGTTTCCCAGGCTGGAGTGCAGTGGCACAATCATGGCTCACTGCAGCCTCAACCCTCTGGACTCAAGTGATCCTCCTACCTCAGCTTCTCAAGTAGCTGGGACTACAAGTGTCCACCAACATGCCCAGCCAATTTTTTAATTTTTTTGTAGCAAAGAGGTCTTGCTTTGTTGCCCGGGCTGGTCTCAGACTCCTGGGTTCAAGTTATCCTCCCACCTCAGCCTCATTAAAGCCAAAGCCTGAAGGTAGGAAAGGAAGAGCCTTCAGGGAAGGGACCAAAATGTGCAAAGACCCTGAGGCTGAAAAGAGCTGAACATGGTCAAGGAATGGCTGGAGCTGAGAACTTGAGCATGCGCCAATACACACGGGGCCTTATATGCATAGACAGCAGGTTGGGATGTGATGAGGAGAGGCTGAGCAATGGGAGGCCATTGGTTCTGTTTAGCCAGGAGTGCAAACTGATTCAGTTTTCATTTTTACAAAATTGCTCCTGGCTGCTAGGTGGCAAATAGTGGGTGTGGGGAGACAGGGAAAAGAGATGCCAGGAGAACAGCTCAATATTACTTTGGAAAGAAGATTCTCTTCATCTAAGAATGGAATGGAAGGGAGATAATGTAGACTCAGATATTTCCATGTGAAGGGAAGGGAAAATGTTGCTCACAGTGGATGGGACTCACTTTTTCCCAAGCTTTGGTGCCAGAGAATCAAGAAGAGTAGGCCGCGCACGGTGCCTCATGCCTGTAATCCCAGCACTTTGGGAGGCCGAGGCAGGCGGATCACCTGAGGTCAGGAGTTCGAGACCAGCCTGACCAACTTGGCAAAACACCGTCTCTACTAAAAATGCAAAAATTAGCCAGGAGTAGTGGCACGCATTTGTAATCCCAGCTACTCAGGAAGCTGAGGCAGGAGAATTACTTGAACCTGGGAGGTGGAGGTTGCAGTGAGCGGAGATCATGCCATTGGACTCCAGCCTGGGCAACAAGAGCAAAACTTCGTCTCAAAAAAAAAAAAAGGTTTGCTGAGCAGCAGTAAGTGTAGAATCAATGCTAACATTAATTTGTACTGGGCTAAGATAGTAGGATTTTGTGATTTTTCAACATTAGGTCTACTGCCCAGGAGTAGGAATGAAAGAAATAGGATAATGATTCTGAATTGAAGATAGACCCCGTTGCACCTGGGGAAGGATTGACAGAAAGAGAACGTTGAATGTCACAAGGGTATTTTAGAGGGAAAAAATGGAAGCAGAAAGGAAAAACAGACTGAAACGGTAGAGAGAAAAGTGCTTGCAGGGAGGGCTTGGTGAAGAAACATCATTGTAGTGAAATGAATGAAATGTTCAACCTCTCTCCCCCTGCAAAAAAACAAAAAACAAGGAAAATCTTCTCTTTATATAATCTAAAGTTTTTACGTAAGTAAAAAGGAACAGGTAGGCCGGGTGCCGTGACTCACACCTGTAATCCCAGCACTTTGGGAGGCCAAGGCGGGTGGATCACCTGAGGTCAGGAGTTCGAGACCAGCCTGGACAAGATGGTAAAACCCCATCTCTACTAAAAATACAGAAATTAGCCAGGCGTGGTGGCAGGTGCCTACAATCCCAGCTACTCAGGAGGCTGAGGCAGGAGAATCCTTGAACCCAGGGGGCAGTGAGCCAAGATCGTGCCATTTCACTCCAGCCTGGGCAAAAGAGTGAAACTTGTCTAAAAAAAAAAAACAGGTTTCTTTGAATTTTTTTTTTTTTTTTTTTTGAGATGAAATTTTGCTGTCACCCAGGCTGGAGTGCAATGGCACGATCTCAGCTCACTGCAACCTCCGCCTCCTGGGTTCAAACGATTCTTCTGCCTCAGCCTCCAGAGTAGCTGGGATTACAGGCACCAGTCACCACGCCCGGCTAATTTTTTGTATTTTTAGTAGAGACGGTTTCACCATGTTGGTCAGGTTGCTCTCGAACTCCTGATCTCAGGTGATCCACGCGCCTCGGCCTCCCAAAGTGCTGGGATTACAGGCGTGAGCCACCACGCCTGGCCGAATTTTCATAAATGATTTGAAAGAAAATGAGCTCATTCTTTCTTTTTTTTTTAGACGGAGTCTTGCTCTGTCGCCATCCTGGAATGCAGTAGCGTTATCTCGGCTCACTGCAACCTCTGCCTCCTGGATTCAAGCGATTCCCCTGCCTCAGCCTCCCAAGTAGCTGGGACTACAGGTGCGTGCCACCACTCCCGGCTAATTTTTTTTTTTTTTTGAGACAGAGTCTTGCTCTGTCGCCCAGGCTGGAGTGCAGTGGCGCGATCTCTGCTCGCTGCAAGCTCCACCTCCCGGGTTCATGCCATTCTCCTGCCTCAGTCTCCTCAGTAGCTGGGATTACAGGCACCCGCCACCACACCCACCTAAGTTTTTGTATTTTTAGTAGAGAAGGGGTTTCACCTTGTTAGCCAGGATGGTCTCCATCTCCTGACCTCATGATCTGCCCGCTTCGGCCTCCCAAAGTGCTGGGATTACAGGCGTGAGCCACCGCGCCTGGCAATTTTTGTATTTTTAATAGAGACGGGGTTTCACCATGTTGGCTAGGATGGTCTCCATCTCCTGACCTTGGGATTTGCCCGCCTCGGCCTCCCAGAGTGTTGGGATTACAGGTGTGAGCCACCGCGCTCGGCCGAGCTTATTCTTAAAATACAGTAAAAACTTTAAGCTCTCTTTTAAGGTTCTTGTGGCTTGTTGCAGGAGATAGAAGAAAGGTGAGAAGCAGGCAGTAAATGGAAGCAGAAAGAGACACAAAGTTGTGACCACTAGGTTGTGACATGTTTGGGTTTTTTCACTTGAGCTGTATACTTCTTTGGTATTTCACGCCCTAGCCTGGTCCTTAGATTATGTCTTCTCAGGTCTTCTCCCAGTGCACACAGCAACAACAGACTGACCTGAACACCTCCGCCCACACACACCAAGCCTGGGCAAGGGGAAGGTAAAACTACCCACTTTGGGCCTACATGCAGTGAGGCCTTTCAGATACTGATAAAACATTGTTGCCCCCTCATGTGGCCAATGCTGGAAATACAGCTGAGACACGTATTCCAGGGCAGTGTAGCAGCCTCAGCAACTGGGAATTTGTTAGAAATGCATATCTCGGGATCCATCCTGACCTACTAAATCAGAATTTTGCTGGACCCTACCCCCAATCTGTCTGTTTTTTCTTTTTGTTTTGTTTTTGTTTTTTGAGATGGAGATGGAGTCTGGCTCTGTCACCCAAGCTGAAGTGCAGTGGTGTGATCTCTGCTCACTGCAACCTCCACTTCCCGGGTTCAAGTGATTCTCCTGCTTTAGTCTCCCAAGTAGCTGGGATTACAGGCGCGAGCCACCATGCCTGACTAATTTTTGTATTTTTAGTAGAGATGGGATTTCACCATGTTGGCCAGGCTGGTCACAAACTCCTCACCTCAGGTGATCCATCCGCCTTGGCCTCTCAAAGTGCTGGGATTACAGGCATAAGCCACTGCATCCAACCCAAATTTGTTTTTTTTTTTCTTTCTTTTTTTTTTTTTTTTTTTTGAGACCAAGTTTCGCTCTTGTTACCCAGACTGGAGTGCAATGGTGCGATCTCGGCTCACCACGACCTCCACCTCCCGGGTTCAAGCAATTCTCCTGCCTCGGCCTCCCGAGTAGCTGGGATTACAGGCATGCGCCACCACGCCCGGCTAATTTTTGTATTTTTAGTAGAGACGGGGGTTCTCCATGTTGGTCAGGCTGGTCTCGAACTCCTGACCTCCTGATCTACCCGCCTTGGCCTCCCAAAGTGCTGGGTTTACAGGTATGAGCCACTGCACCCGGCCCCAGATTTGTTTTCTAATAAGCTCTTCAGATGATCCTGATGAATGCTAACAGACTTGAAAACCGCCATTCTCAACCCACATGTTAAAACATGTTAATATCTTCAACTGCCCCATATCTGCCACACACACTCCCCCCAGAGTGATGTATCCTTTCTTTTTTTTTCAGATGGAGTTTCACTCTTGTTGCCCAGGCTGGAGTGCAGTGGTGCAGTCTGCAACCTCTGCCTCCTGGGTTCAAGCGATTCTCCTGCCTTCCGAGTAGCTGGGATAACAGGCGCCAGTAACCACACCCAGCTAATTTTTGTATTTTTAGTAGAGATGGGGTTTCTTCATGTTGGCCAGGCTGGTCTCGAACTTCTGACCTCAGGTGATCCAACTGCTTCGGCCTCCCAAGGTGCTGGGATTACAGGCGTGAGCCACCACGCCCAGCTTTAATTTCTGGTTTAAGAGTGGAGGCCAGGCGCGGAAATGGGGAAATGGAGTTTCCCTATGTTGCTTAGGGTAGTTTTGAACTCCTGGGTTCAAGTGATCCTCCCATGTGGGCCTCCCAAAGTGCTGGGATTACAGGCGTGAGCCAACATGCCCAGCTTTAATTTCTGGTTTAAGAAGAGTGGAGGCCAGGCGCGGAAATGGGGAAATGGAGCTTCCCTATGTTGCTTAGGGTAGTTTTGAACTCCTGGGTTCAAGTGATCCTCCCATGTTGGCGTCCCAAAGTGCTGGGATTACTGGCTTGAGCCACCATGCCTGGCCAGAGCCACTTTGGGAAGAGCAGTCTATACTTACCCTTTGTTTTTTTGTGACGGAATTTTGCCCTGTCACTCAGGCTGGAGTGCAGTGGCATGATCTCGGCTCACTGCAACCTGCACCTCCTGGGTTTAAGGGATTCTCCCGCCTCAGCCTCCGGAGTAGCTGGGTTATAGGCACCCAGCTAATGTTTGTATTTTTAGTAGAGACGGGGTTTTGTCATGTTGGCCAGGCTGGTCTCCAACTCCTGACCTCAGGTGATCCACCCACCTCGCCTTCCCAAAGTGATGGGATTACAGGCATGACCCAATATGCCTGGCTTTTTTTTTTTTTTTTTTTTTTTTTGAGACAGGGTCTTGCTCTGTTGCTCCGGCTGGATTGCAGTGGTACAATCATAGCTGTGAGTTTGAACTCCCAGGCTCAAGTGATCCTCTCGCCTCAGCCTCCCAGGTAGCTGGAACTAAAGGCATGTGCCACCATGCCTAATATTTTTTGTATTTTTTGTACAGACCTGGTCTCCCTATGTTGCTCAGGCTGGTCTCAAACTCCTGGGCTCAAGTAGTCTTCCCACCTCGGCCTCCCAAAAGTGCTGGGATTACAGACATGAGCCACTGATACCCAACACTAACCTGGCTAAGGTCACCCAGGCTGTAGAGAGGTAGAGCTGGGACAATGGCCTTTATCTGACTCCAGCATCCTCAGGATTTCCTCCCTTATCTGTAGAATGTGGATAAGATGACCAAGAACACATCCTAGAGGGCACGATAGCCAGGATAGGACTGTTCTAGGAACACACACGAGGCGTGTTAAAGAAGACTCAGAAAGATGAAAACCAGGAAAGAGCCCTGTGGCCGAGATCTACTCTGTATCCTAGAGTATTTTATGTACTTTTTGAAGCATTTTTTCACCAGTACTTAATAGCAACTGTTAGATCAAGCATTAGCTCCAGAGGAGTAAAAATCAGATTCCACAGATTTGTACTAATGTATCTAACACAGGTGGTAATGGCTTTAAAAAAAAAAAAATGAAAAACAGTCCAGGCCGGGCGCGGTGGCTCACGCCTGTAATCCCAGCGCTTTGGGAGGCCGTGGCGGGCAGATCACGAGGTCAGGAGTTCCAGACCAGCCTGGCCAACATGGTGAAACCAAGTCTCTACTAAAAATACAAAAAAATTAGCCAGGCATGGTGGCAGGTGCCTGGAATCCCAGCTACTCAGAAGACTGAGGCAGAAGAATCCCTTGAACCCAGGAGGCAGAGATTGCAGTAAGCCAAGACTGCACCACTGCATTCTAGCCCAGGCAACGGAGCGAGACTCCGTCTCAAAAAAGTCCAAACACACTAGGGGTTAAATAAGCTGCTTCTCTTTCCACTGTTTATTATTAATGTACAAAATATACAAAACCAAAAAAAAAAATACTCATCCTCAAATCCATTTTGGCTCTAACCCAAGACCCTGCACAAAACCCAACCAATCCACTGTTTTCATAGAAAACAACTGATGCCAAAGTGAAGGAGAGAACTGGGAAAGGGCAAAATCATCTTGTTGAATCCACCCAGGAAGGCGCCTGGTGGGGATTCAGAGGTGGTTGACAGGGTGAAGTACCTGGAAGCCTCCTTCACGCTGGCAAGGTTCCAGGTGGGAGCAGGGAGTGAGCTGACTCCCAAAGGCAGTGCATGTAGTGTGACTTTCAGGCCCAGCACGCCGGGCCCAAGTTGATGAGAAGCTGGTCTCACTGAAGTATTTTATCAAGTCTCCAGACTGGCTATAGTTGGCAAAGGCAGACCAGCACCACCGGTCTCACCTCTGCCAGCTAAAACTTGCACCGGATGCAGATACGAGTTCGCCATCATCGAACCTAGCAGACCCAGGACGCAGACTGGGTGTTCACAGAAAGTTGAAGGTCCCACTTGAGAAAGGACTAAGAATGGTGAGCCCACGCTGGGGGAGGGGTGGGGATGATGTGTGTTCCAGAACTCAAATCCAGCTGATTGAGCCCTCTCAGTGCAGTGGGATATACAATACCCCTTTCAGCATCTCCCCACCCCATGAGGAATAATGAACTTAGCTGGGATGATTTCTTAAGTGCAGCTGATCCTGTGTCAGAGTTCTGTGTGCATGTGGGGACCCGCAATAGAAGGGTAGGGGTGTTCGCCAGGATAACCAGCTTTAGGTTCTCAAGCATTAAGGGTAATACTGGAAAGGGGTTTGGGGTACAGGGCGAATCTTCTCAAAAAGTGAAGCCAACTGGGTCTCCTCTTCAGCAGTCCAGGAACGTTTCCAGTCTCTCTCCTCCCCAGACTGGAGGAAAATATGTACATCAATGCGCACCAGTGATCAGAAAACCCCCAGGAACCCAAGCAAGTGGGAACTGAGGGGGCCGGCTCCTCATCAGCTGGGGAAAAGGGAAAATGGGCCTCACAGAAGCCATAACAGGGTGGAAAGAGCGAGGCTGCAGTCCACAGGGGTTGTGTGAACAGGGCAGGCAAATGGTCCCTAGGGCAGGGGGGGCCCATTGACACCCGGGTGGTAGAAGGCACAGTTGTTCTCATAGCGGCAGTTGCCCTTCATCATGAAATGTCGGCAGACAGGGCGGTTTGACATGTCTGTGGGAACGATGGCAAAACAGTTAGACAGGAAATAGCTGAGGGCAATGCCACCCTCACCACCCCTTGTCCATGACATCCTGAGAACTGTCTTTCAGAGACAATCTTGGGGATTTGGGGGAAGGGCATAGAGTAGGAACTGCTATGCATACTAGGACATCAAAGAGACGGGTACCTCACGTTCTGCCTAGCTACCAACAGTAGTGACTCTCACCCACTCCCCAAAAGCTTGTATGGGACAACCAAAAGGCATATGGGGGACAGGGAGCATCCTCACCTCCTCCATGGCTGTGGCCTCCATCGTGCCCTCGGTGGCCCCCTCCCCCGTGGCCAGGACCATCATGGCCACGGTGCTCATGAGGTGGCGGCCCTCGATGGTCATGGCCTCGGTGACCAGGGACATCATGAGGCCGGTGGCCATGGGGCCCCCCGTGTCCAGGGCCTTCATGGGGACGATGTCCACCACTTCCACCCATGCTTCCGCCAGGGCCTTCGTGGGGGCGATGTCCACCACCGGCACCCATTCCTCCGCCAGGGCCTTCATGGGGACGATGGCCACTGCCACCACTGATGCCACCGCCAGGGCCTTCGTGGGGACGATGTCCTCCACCCCCACCCATGCTACCACCAGGGCCTTCATGGGGGCGATGCCCACTTCCCATGCCACCGCCAGGGCCTTCGTGGGGACGATGTCCACTGCTGTTGCCCATGCCCCCACCAGGGCCTTCGTGAGGACGATGCCCACCACCTCCAACCATGCCCCCACCAGGGCCCCCTCGTCCATTTGGGGGTCCTCCTCCAGAGCGACCTCCTCTGGCGCCTCGGAATGGAGGAGGAGGAGGAGGAGGTTCGTTTCCTCCTCGGCCACCTCGGCCTCTATGGTATGGTCCAGGACCTGGTCCTGGACCCCCCCGCATTGGGCCACCCCGCATAGGGTCGCCCGGGCCATCCCAGAAGGGATCACCTCCCCGGGGAGGGGGTGGAGGACCCAGAAGACGTGGACCCACTGGCCCACCAGGGCCTCCATGGGGACCTGTAAGGGGACAAAAAAGAGAGACAGTATCAGCTACCAGGAACTGCCATCTCCCAACCTAAACCACCACCTCCCACCTTCCAGTCAATCCTATACTATTATCAGACTGAAATTAAGCAGATAAGCCCATTCCAACCTTTTACTCACCACCTACCTGGCATAGGTCCCCCAGGTCCAGGGGGAAAGTGCTGCATGCCCTTGGGGCCCCCAGGACCCCCTGGTGGGAAACCATTGGCTATTGGGCCAGGGCCTAGGAGTCCATGTGGCACTGTTAATGAAAACAAGAGTAACACAGCATGAGCACTCTAGAAGACTAGCATGATCTCCCATTTAGGTGCAACCAACTGACCCTCTCAAACCAACCTGGCAGAGCAATGCTCTCTCTGTCCAGTCTTCCCCTCCCATTTCTTGCCTAGTGGCCACAGCCCTGTATTCTTCTGCATCTTTGAAACCCTGCTTCCCCCAACTCCACTGCAGGCTTCCTCCCCCAGTCCCCTGGGGCTGGCCCTGAAGATTACCCAGCATCTGCTTGATCTTGTCCGAATAGTCTGGTTGTTTCAGTAGTTCCTCTGAAGGATGACTGTTTGGGCTACCCTGTGAGGATGTAAGAAGGCAAAGTCAACAGACAGAAAGGGTAACAACCATGGCGAAAGATAGCGCCAAAGATTAGGGGTAAGTGGGTAGATGTGGAGAACTGGGGTAAGGCGAATGGGAGACAGTGAGGAGAGCGAGCTTAAGGAGGCTCCACAGAAGGTGGAAAAGGGGAAGGAGGGTGCGTACCATGATGGAGGTGAGGATCTCTTGGACATTAATGCCTCCTCCTCCAGGGCCTTGGGGGCCCTTTCCAGCACCCATGCTTCCCATAAGATTGGCCAGAACTGGAGGCAACTTGGAGCCTCCTGCCCCATCAGGTGAGCCACCTGACCCCCCAGGTTCCAGAGTCTCAACATACGGAGTCTCATCCATGGAACACTCCTGAAAGAAGAACAAAAAAAATCAGGACTGACAGAACAGAGACATTCTCATATGAAAGATGCACCGAATTCAATGACCATCACAACTTCCATCATCACAGAACATTGACTTACCTCATCTAGGGGGATGAGTTTAGGGGGTATGGGCTCGTAGGGCTCAGGATCAGGCTCATGAGGACTATCAGGAACAACACAGGTGAGAGAAAAAAGAATGATAGTCAAGTTATTAATTCAGACCCTGAAAGTAATTTCTAACCTCCACCCCGTAATTACCCCAGCTCATGTTCCCTCAGGAGTGTCCAAGCACTCAACATCCCAGGGCACGAACCCCACTCTGCTCACCTCTCCTTGTTCAGGAAGAGCTCCTGAAGGATTCCCTTCTCCCGCTCAGCCTGGATATATCGCTCCTGACTATTGCTTCCAGGGGTGACAAGAGGTGAGGGCAGAACCAGGGGCCGGGGGCACACCCAGGGCACCTTCTCCTCCATGTTATCATGGCTCAGACGCCGCGCTGTCTCAAATGCATGTCGGTCTGACAGTATCTCTCGCTTAGCCGCCTCACCAAAGTCCTTGATCTTATTCACATTTACTGTCGGCAGGGGAAGAAAAGCAAGAGGGAAAGTAAGCACAACCAAGTCCTTTCAAAATCCCTTAAACACACCTATTACGTAGGAAATGACCTCTTACCTCGTTCAGTTTCATCCAATTCAAAATAGAAATATTCTCTCAGTTTGCCTTCCTCAGGCCATGTCACACTTTTCCTCTTCCTGCCTTTCCGGGTCAGTTGGTTAGGATCTCCAGGACTCTCCACTGGCTTGGCATCCAGAGCTCCTGGCTCCAAAGAGGCTGGAAGCAGAAGAGGTTTCAGACCCAGATCCCTCCTTTCAGAAAACCCCCCAAACTGAACCAGTTTCTAGATTACCTGTATCCATGAGCTCCGGGACTTCAACAGGGGGAACCGGGGTGCCTGGACGGTCTGCGTCCATTGCCTCAGAAGGTGGTGCTGGTTCTGGGGAAGAAGGTTTGGCTGTGCTTGGTTCTGTGCTCGTTTTCCCTTCAAAGGGGCTTGGCTATTGTGAAAGAAAAGGAAGTTAATGAACTGACTGGAAAGCCAAGGGCAAGGCAATTAGTCCAGGGTCCCAGGCACAGTCCCCCAACAGTTCCTATATAAAGGAAGACTCTGTCTCCACAATGTCTCACCTGCACCAGTCTATATCCAAGGCAAAACGCCTCTTGTTGTCCTCCCCGACAACTCCTAGCTGCTGTGCCCTTTCTTCTACTTTACCTTTTATACTCTGTCACTGAAACCTACTTCTGGGAGCCCATACCTTGGCAGCCGTAGGTGACAGTACTTTTTTTTTCTTCTTAATTTTGATGCCTGGAACAGGGGCTGAATTAAGAGCATCCAGAAAGCCCAGGCCCTCCATAGCTACAAAAAGAAAGAGCACCAAATGGCATCATCAGACCTCCTTCATAATCCTACACCTGCAAACACAGTCCAGGCATAAAATGAGCCAGTGAAGACCCTGCCTCAACTTAGGACACGATAAGCTCAAGAGGACCAGGAAGCACATGCAGGAGGATTCACACAGGATATTCTTGTTGTTATTCTAGGTTTCTCATGGCAGGCAAGCCATAGCTTTGGATGTGAATTATAGCTCAGGTAGCTGACGAAGTGAGCCCTTGTGAACATGACAGATCACCTTACCAGGTGCCCCTGACCAGTCACAGAATGGCACACGTCCCTATCTTATCTCTAAAATTACTCCTAAGTGACCCCTGAAACGGGAGTTCCAGAGGTACAAAAAGTAAGGGATACCAAGAAATCAAAGGAAAATGGAGGGAAATAATAAAAGAGAAGGGAAAAAACTTCTCGTTCCCAGGGACATTCATTCCCATAAGAGTTTGCTCCTGGCCAGGTGCGGTGGCTCATGCCTGTAATCCCAGCACTTTGGGAAGCTGAGGTGGGTGGATCACGAGGTCAGGAAATCAAGACCATCCTGGCTAACATGGTGAAACCCCATCTCTACTAAAAATACAAAAAATTAGCCGGGCGTGGTGGCGGGCACCTGTAGTCCCAGCTACTCGGGAGGCTGAGGCAGGAGAATGGCGTGAACCCGGGAGGCGGAGCTTGCAGTGAGCCAAGACCGTGCCACTGCACTCCAGCCTGGGTGACAGAGTGAGACTCTGTCTCCAAAAAAAAAAAAAAAAAAGTTTGCTCCTAATTCAAAGTACATCTTCCCCACTTTAGACTCACGCTGTGGCGGGATGATCTTCACTTTGATCTCTTTGGTGGCATTAGGTGTTGTGTTGAGTGGCTTGTATTTCTTCTCTGCAGGGGGAGTGGCATCTCCTGGAGCAGCTACGTTGCTGTCAGAAGAGGAACTGTCATCAACATCTCCGACTCACCCCCTCCTGCTCCCTTGTGTCCACAGATCCACCCCATTCAGAGCCTGAGAATATGGTCCATACCTCTGACGTTTGAGGGGGATGGGTTTAAGGTTGTACTTGTCAGAAACCACCACTGTGCTGGCATTCTTCTTCACAGGCACCAAGGATGGTGTCTCCAGCTCTAGTCCTGGGGAAAGAAGCACGGTGTGGGCAGCTGAACTCAAACCCCAGACCCCCGAATTTTCCTCCCGTTCTCACCCGCAAATGTTCTTCTAGCCTTGTAACCAAAGCTTCCTCTGCTAGTCTTCCCTCTTCCTTACGATTAACATACCACACATCAAATGATTCCCCCATAAGGCTCTGGGTGTGCACATGCCCATGAACCCTCCAGAGGCCAGCCGCCAGTCTTACCAGTGGAACGGAACTTGGCATGACTGGGTGCTGTGGTGCGAAGAGACTTGGGCTTCTCCCTCTTCTTCTCTGGGGCCTCCTCAGCCCGGGTCTCAGCCTTCACCTCTGTCAAAGGTCGCTCAGGAAGGGTAGTTCGACTTTTTCCTTCATCTTTACGTTTCTTCTTATCTTTCTCTGTTGTGAAAAAACAAAGCAGAAAAGGATTTTATTTAGATGAACACTGTCAGAGGTGAAGCAGACTGGGAGCACCTAAAGGCCACATCCCAATAGGAAAGAAATAAATACAAAGGATAAAGGACTAAGGAGCTTACCAGCAGGCTGGGTACTGCTCTGAGAGCGGATGACAGCCATCCAGTCGCTGACAAGGACTGAGGCCAATTTCCGGAGCTCTGCAGGTGACAGAAAGGGGAAATGCCTAAATAATGTAAAGTAACATTCTTCCAGGAACAGAAAATGGGAGGTTTGAGAAAATATTGTGAAAATTTATGTAACGGAGAAAGTAACCCAAAGTTTTAAGAAGAACATGAGATATGCTTAAAAACCAAACCCTTAAAAAATGGAACAATGAATTAGAGTTGTGTTCTACTTGGATAACTTTCAACTCTGATGTCATCACACCACTCTGGAGTAAAAAGACCTAATATTTCAGAATATGTGGTTAAAATCTACATTAGTAAAAGACTACACGTTGGGTGCAGTGTACACTGCTTGGGTGATGAGTGTACCAAAATCTCAGAAATCACCATTAAAGAACTTATACATGTAACCAAAATCCACCAGTTCCTCAAAAACTGACATTTTTTTAAAAAGCTACGTTAGTTGCTTTATGTATAACACACCTAATTGTTACAACAATCTGAAGACTTTTTATTTTCCTTTATAGATGTGAAAACAAGAATAAAATTTGTTTCTAAATATATGAAAAAATACTTTGTAACTCTTTCCTTTTGTACTTGGCAAATAACATCTCTGATCTATGGCACCTCTCTTCTGGCCAACATTTCCACTTATAAACTCATTTCATAATTTATCATTTAGTAATAGGAGTTTCACAGATGAGACACGCTAGGATGATACTATTTCCCACAGCAAATTTTAAGTGTATGTGTTTTATAACAAGCAATTTTAGGAATCAGCTTCCAGTTAAAGTATGGCACCTTATATTCAGCAACAGAGAAATGAACAACTTTGGAATTGAGAACAGGAAAGAGGGTACAGGTTAGAGGAACTTTCTCTTTAAAAGAAGGAAAAAAAGCAAGGTGAGGTAGAAAGAGAAAAGTGAAGGGACAATCCAAGGATGGGAAAAGATATTAAGGTAATTAAGTGGAAGTAATAGAGAAAAGCCCATGAGAGAGCAGGAGTGGCACCCTACCTTCATCCTCACTTGACTTGCTCAGCTGCTTCACCAGTTTAGCTGTGTTGTTCTATGAGAGATGGGAGCAGCAGAAAGGTAAATGCCAGGAGGCAAATAATTCCACTTAGAGCTAAAAACGACAAAAGTTACAGTCCTCCCTGCTTTTTTTTTTTTTTTTATTTTTTGAGACGGAGTCTCACTCTGTTGCCCAGGCTAGAGTGCAGTGGCGCAGTCTTGGCTCACTGCAGCCTCGACCTCCCAGGCTCAAATGATTCTCCCACCTGAGCCTCCTAAATAACTGAGACTACAGGCATGCACCACCACATCTGGGTAAATTTTTTGTATTTTTTGTAGAGACAGAGTTTTATCATTTTTGCCCACGCTGGTCTTGAACTACTGGGCTCAAGCAATCCACCCACCTCAGCATCCCAAAGTGTTGGGATTACAGGTGTGAGCCACCACACCTGGCTGACACATTCCTTTTTTTTTTTTTTTTTTGAGACGAAGTCTCACTCTGTCGCCCAGGCTGGAGTGCAGTGGTGCGATCTCGGCTCACAATAACCTCCACCTCCTGGGTTCAAGCGATTCTCCAGCCTCAGCCTCCTGATTAGCTGGGACTACAGGCGCATGCCACCATGCCTGGCTAATTTTTTGTATTTTTAGTGGAGACGGGGTTTCACCACGTCAGCCAGGATGGTCTCAGTCTCCTGACCTCATGATCCGCCCGCCTCAGCCTCTCAAAGTGCTGGGATCACAGGCGTGAGCCACCGTGCCCAGCCGCCACACACCTATTAAAGGAGATAAATTCAAACCAAGTCTTCTTCTTCTAAATTCCTATTTTTTTTCTGCTGTTCTACCTCACAGGCCCAAGATTACAGCCACATCAGTCAGTTTGAGTTTTTCATCCATTAGACTAAACCAAAAAAGGAAGAATCAGGGTTTAAAGACTAAAGGTACCTGCTTGAGATGGTCTACAGTGAGCGGTAGATGCTGCAGGGTCAGTAGAATTTGCTGGAGGAGGGGAATGTTGTTGGTTGTCTTTGAATACGTCAGCCAATTGTTAAGAAGTTTGTAGCCGCCAACGTCAATAAATCTGCAGGCAGGCAGGAGAGTCTATCAGTAATGCCCTTTCTAGGTTTTGACAGTACCACATCCTACAATCCCAGTCTCCCATCAATGACCCAGGAACCCCATGCCTCACCGCCCCATCTTTTCGCTACACCTTCCCATTCCAACCATCCAGATCCCCACTTACTTGACCAATATTTCTGGTGAACGGGTCTGCAGGAGAATGTTCAAGTAAGTGCATCGACTCACCATCTTTCGTGCTTCCTTCATCAAACTGCAGAAGATGAGTTAGGGTTAGAAATGAAGCAGCCAGTATCTCTTCTCTTAGCAAAAGCGCCTCTCTGTGAACTGCCTAGAGATTCCTAATGACTTGGGACTTTGCTCCAGAGAAGGGGAGTCACATATACCTCTAGGAAGATGGGATGGATCCAGTGTGACATGGAAACTTATGGGAGAACAGAGACACCGCAGTCTCTGACCTGGGGAGGAGAGCATCGCTGCCTCCGTAACACACAGGATGAATTCCATTCTGCCTCCAGGTGATAAGGCTATCCCTCAACAACTGTCCCTAATAGTCT
Source organism: Homo sapiens (assembly GCF_000001405.40). Lineage (NCBI taxonomy): Eukaryota > Metazoa > Chordata > Mammalia > Primates > Hominidae > Homo > Homo sapiens. The sequence goes on from NT_167249.2 coordinate 1,910,226, forward strand.
GTTCAAGACTGGCTTAGTTATTTACTCTCCCCTGAAAAACCTGAGAATCCCTGAAGGAAAATAACATTATGGGTAGGTGGAACACGAACCAAAACAATCTAGAATTCTGTTACCAGGCTACCCTGCTCTCATTCCAAAGCATGACTCCCTTGGGACCGTGGACGTCCAAATCTCCAGTTTCCATTATGGTCAGAAACAAGTGATCATCTTTTCCTATCCCTTATCCTAAAATTGTTACATTTTAATCCTATTGCACTGACTATCTTTCCCTTTCCTTTCCAGGATCATTCCAGTGTGCCTCAACTGCAGCCATGTTTTAACACACAATATTCTCTACTCACAGTGAATACAAAAAGGGGTAAAGACTCACCTGAAGATCTTGGAAATCCCATCCACACTTTTGACTTCCCCATCTCGGTTAAGGAAGCTGTCCAGGCCCTTGAGAAGTTCTTTGGGGTCTATGGGACCCGAACCCATGATGGTGGTTTCTATGGTAAGAGGACAAAACAAACAAACCCACAGAATAAATGGGTGGCAAGGACTACCCGAGTAGGCCCTCTAATAAACCACATCTCTATATTTGACAAAGTATAATGACTAATTATTCAACTATGCTATTTTTTAGATATGAAAAATCGACACAGACCACTTGCCACTACTGAGAAAATAGCCCTGGCAAGTTAAGCATGGGGAGCATATGTGACTGAACAGGAAAGCAATTCGATTGGAGGAGTAGGGCAGCACACCTGTCCCTCCCTCCCAGCAGCATCCTTCCTAGGATGGCTGAACTTCACTAGATCGTATTAAAGCTAAGATCAGTTCCCATAACAAGATGTTCAACTCTCCAGGGCATTTACACCTATCGTTAAGTCCTGTCTTCCCTAGTTGCTGATAAATTTGGCTTGAAAAACAGCCTATAGCTTGATAGAAATTGGGCCAATCTTGGGTGTTTGAGCTAAATGTCTTATAAGACTTGAGTCCTTTTTATCTTAGCCCATTAAGAGTCATAATCACTACACATGGCAAGATATGTATCAGCTGAAGTGGTAGATGATGGAGAACAAAACAAAACTTGAAAACAGAATCCCTCTCTAAGGAGATCTGGGAGTAGGTGCCAGAGATTGAGACAAATGGATGCATGGAAATCAAGCAGGTCCTCCTAGACCTTGAATAGACTGTCACTCATTAGCCAAACACTACACAAGTTTTTACTGTCTCTAAGTTAAAAGGAAGCTAGTGGTTTGTGCTTTCAAAAGCAAAGATGCGAATCTGGTCCTCTCCTCAAAAATCACGCTGTACAAGATCCCCTAGGAAAGCCTAAAACTGAAAACCATGGAACCTAAAAAGGGAACAGATAAAGCCAAATGCTAGAAAAATTCCCTTTTAAGCAGCTGTTTTAGACCAGGTTGGGAAGGGAATTAGTTAAAAGCTAAGCTCCTTTTATGGAAGGGACAAGCCAGAACTGAAGTTCCAGAAAGGTAATTTAGGATCAATATGGTTCTGATTGGGATTTTTATCTACACTGCCTCTAAATACTTGCTTCTAAGACCCAAAAAAGAGGCTGGGTGCAGTGGCTCATGCCTGTAATCCCAGCACTTTGGGAGGCCAAGGTGGGCAGATTCCTTGAGCGCAGGAGTTTGAAACCAGCCTTGGCAACATGGCGAAACCTCATCTCTACAAAACATAAGTCGAGTGTGATGGTGTGCACCTGTAGTCCCAGCTACCCGGGAGGCTGACGTGGGAAAACGGGAGGACTGCTTGAGCCCAGGGATACTGAGGCTACAATGAGCTGTGATTGTGCCACTGCACTCCAGCCTGAGAGACAGAGTAAGACGCTGCCTCAAAAACAAACAAACAAAAAACCACCAAAAAAGAAAGCCACTTCAGCAATATCTGCCTTTGGGCAATAAGGCCCACACTGAGTAGCAAGGAAGAGGCAAGAACAAAACCTTCCTCATCCTACATCTAGCACAGAAGTAACAGACACAATCCCAGCAGAAGGGTAGAAAAATCAGTATTTTACAAAGATGAGTAGTTTTGTGCCGGAAAAAACACAGGTTTCTTGTAAGATAATGCAAATTAGTTCTACTTGTTCTCAAACAAAAGAAAAAACATAGCATAACAATCTCAGCCTTTTTGTCCTCCCAACAAAAACGTCAGTAAGTTTCCAAATGTGTAGGTCCTAACAACCTAGGCGAGCAGCAGCAGAAGCAGGGAGGAGGCAGCCAGGAAGGGTAGGAGTATAATCTTGGCTCTGGAGATCATAACCTGTGGGCTGAACAGAGGGAGAGATGAGGCAAGAAATGTTGAGAAGTCGCTGCTGCCCTGGAACCTCCACAAATACAAGTGGAACCTGAGGTCAGAGAAAAAACATTCAAGGAGAATACTGGAAAAGATTAGATGTCCGTGGGCCAAATCCACTCAAGTGTGGTGATTCCTACACACACAGAGACAGACACAGAAATAAAGGTATTCTTCCCATGTAGTGAGATACTATAAAGTGATCTATAGAAACTATAAAGAGATACGATAAAGGGACACATAAAACAGATATCACATCTGTTGGAGACTGGAAAAGCAATGTATGGGTTCCAATAACAACATATCATAAGCAATCAAGAGACTAAGAAATTTTTAAAACTCCCTCTCTCTATATATACACACATACCTACCATTAGATTCCTAAAGCAAAATATATGCAATTTGACAAAAGGCCTTGAATTAAACATCATTTCAAACCAGTTACCCTTGACTGATTCAAACCCAGAGTTGAATATATATAACCCTGGAGAATTCCTTTTTGCATATCCAACTACAAGCTAAGCCAATAAATAGACCTACTACCCCTATTTCCTTCAGACACTAAATAAACTGTCATCTGAGCTCAAGTGTTCCTTAAGAGGATGGGAGACAAGAAAGAAGAGCCAGTCTTAGAAAAATGGACCAATGAGTACAAAGCTAAATTCTGTCCAGTGCCCTCTGCTGGAAATGGGATCCAGGGACTTTTTTATTCCCACATGTATAAACAAGAATAAAAGACATTAATAGTCAAAGGGAAGCTAAGAGACAAAGCAAAATTAGCGTTAAATATTCATTTTCCACTACTTATATTTTGGAAATATAAGTGAAATTTTGTCTCATGAGCACCAATCTTGATAAAATGTAAGTGGGTTTTCTCATGATGGCCTTCCTTCAGGAAGATTAGTTCTTATTTAAAATTAAGGACCCCAAGTGTCTTATAACCTAGTTTCCTTGCTTTGAAGTCAGTATATTTTGGAAAAAAACCAAACAATTTCCAAGGCGCTCAAGTGGAAAGGAATGTAAAGTCCAACATTTCGGGCACAGGGCTACAGCAGAGAAGGCAAACTGAGTTGATGAAGGCAGGCAGGGGCTGTGACTAAGTGTTGTAACATTACCTACTCAAGATCTGGAGTCTAGAATGAAAGCTTAAGAAAGCTTTCTGGAACCACAAGTAATCCACGGCATGATTATGTCTTCTTTTAATGAGCTGCTATTTTCTTGACTGCAGAACATACAGAAGGTGGGGAGTGAGGTAGCAACCCCCTGGCCTACCTCCACCTCATCCTAAGCTATGCGTTCCTTATGGAGAATGTTTCAGGCAGAGCCATACTCTACTGGCACAAGGCATTGGGGAATTTTCTACCATTTTTACCAGAGATAAACGTCTGTGACACCAACTCCTGCCTTCAAAATGAATTTTACTTGAGGGTTATTCAATTAAATAGGGTGAAAAAATATCCAGCATAGCTAAAGTTATTCCACACCCATCACCAATGAAACAGGACTGAATTGGTTCAGGATAAAAATTCTGTGCAAGTCAGAGCTCTTTAAAAAATAACTGTCTTCTAACAAAAGGAGAAAAAAGTCCCAAATTTACCTTAATTTAGAGGCACTTCTGGAAATGAAAATGATTTGTACCTAACCCCTTATGTTCCCCTTCCTTTCTTCAGTGTTTTAGGCACTTCCTAGTTTGACACAATAGTGGACTGAATTATGTCTCTCAGGTGATTCATCACAAGGTCATAGCTTTCTTCCAAGTAGTAAGCCCCTACCCCTCAGTCATTTTGCAAACCTGATACATGAGCTCCTCAAAAGCTTATCTGCCTTCCAATAAAGATGCAAAATGATATACCACCCTGACTCATAGAAAAAGACCCCAGACTAGAACTCTGGCCACAAACTACAAGGATCAGGTTTTCCAAGATTTTCTGAATGGATGTGGTTCCCCTAGTAGACCTGGCTTCCCATCTCCCATGTTAAGGAAGATCTTCTTTATTAATCCCCTGGCTCACTAGAGATCAGGAACCCCAGTGGGTAGAATGTTCAGCTCCCAAGGAAGATATGCTGCAGAGGCACATGGCAAACTGCTTAAAAGAAAAAAACAAAACAAAACAAAAAAAGCTTGTAGTCAACAGACATGTGAAGAGTCCCTCCCATCCAATCCAGAAGCTTAAGTAATAATTTGAGAATCTGTACCCAGTAGGAAGTTAGCCCTAAGTCTCACCCAGGTCACCAGAGGGCAGTTATACTTTCCAATTCTGCCTAGAACCTCCACGCTTCAGTGCAGGACTTTTAAAAATTAAAATTATATGGAGAGTCTGATAAAGATTTGACTTTGAAAAATTTGGGGGAAGAAAGGAACCAGACACCCAATACCACCCTCAGATAGGGCATGGCTTCTGAACATGCACCAAATGCCACAGCACTGCATGAGTTGAAAAATGAAGAGGACATCATTTTTTCATTAATGCTTTTAGGAATTTCTTTTAGAAGGGAAGGAAAAAGAAATTCAAAAAAGGTGGCTCTTTGGGGAAAAAAAAAAAATGAAAGTTGTGAAATGTAATACCAGAAAGGTTTTGCTTACCAGAAACCGTAGCTTGATTCCCCCTGCCTTGAGTTTACAACTGCCGCCTCCTTTCCTAAAGATTCACTTCTTATCCTAGTACCAATGTACAGGAACTAATCAAGTGCAGAACGTGATACAGCACTGAATACAGTTTATCCCCAAACTGAGAGGTGGGAATGAGGGCGATTTAGAAGAAAGTCCTAAAAGTACCCACCTTCCCCCGATTCTCATTACACAAAGCGACCAAATGCAGGAGGCCCACTGGTTCCTAAGCAGAAATGGCACACTTCAGTGTCATTAGGCCCGTTTATCTCCAAGTTACTCTTGCAAGCCCTTGTGTCTTTCCCATCTCCCTCTACACACATATATACATACACACACGCTCACACACATCCTCAAAGCTTCCCAGTCTTAGGTTTGCCTGTTTTTTCACCCCTGGCAGCTGAAGTGGGGAAAAATTACAAGCAGTTGTGATGAGTGAAGGAAAGTGAAAATAAAAACTGGTTCTATAAAAACTAGAACTACACAGAGATGGACAGCCTTGATACTTAATTCCTATAAGCTCCTATCCCTTTAAGATATTTTATATAATGAAAATAAGGAAAATGTCTTCTCCCTAGCAGCAACGAGCACAGGCAGTGCAAAAGCATCTGCTCAGGGGTGGAGCTTCAAGAGGGTGGAGAGAGGAGGAAGAAAGCTGATTACATCACCTTTCAAGGCTGCTCCTCCCACTTGACCAAGTTTCTAGGGCGGCCCTAAGCTCAGGATGGCAAAAGGGGGAGAAAAACAACAAAGACGGAGGGACGCCATTTTGTAATGGAGAAAGAGGACTTAAACTAAAAAGCCACCCGGCTCTGCCGGTAGCTTCAGTTACATTATAAAACACCTTTTTAGTAAAAAAAAAAAAAAAAAAAATCAAAAACCAGTTCCCCATCGTGAATAATCTTTGACCTATTTTGATCAGTAAGAGCGTAGTGAAAATTAAAGCAATTAAAATATTAAAAAGAACAATTTTCTGCAGGGAAGAACTGAATTTGCAACGGAGGTTCAACCGGCTACCATCGACCACCCCCATCCTCCCTATAGAGGGAAAGGGGGAGGAAGGACTTGGACCCCTCTCAACAAATAGGGTTGAGGTGGGAGGACAGGAAAAAAAATGGGTCAAGACACAACCTGCAACGCCGCTTGGAAGACAAAAGGACAAGGAAAGTCGCCATATTGAAGCAGGGAAGAAAAAAATTCCTTTTAACGACACAAATCTTTTAGAAAGCTAGCATTCAATTGCACTAAATGGCTTTTAAAATTATACTCCTAAATTCCACATTTCCCAACCTTTCCACCCTCTATTTAACTGTACCTCCCCCACCAAAAAATATCAAGTTAAAATGTTAATCACTCTTTTGCTTTTAAATACCTATGCAATCTGCAACAATTATAAGACATTCTTTACCTCCCCAACTATTATCTTGTATGTACTGGCACTAAGATTATATTTTGTCCTAAGTGTCTTGCAATCTTTATTCCTAGATTGCCACCTATTTTAACCACACAAATATACCCCAAGCAAATTACATTAAAATTGAGAGGATTTAACAGTCATTTAAAAAGTTATAGCGAGCTATTACTTCTCTCTGCCCATCTCCTTACCCTGCAATCTTTATGTACAGATTGCTTATTAATCTGGCAAATTGAAAGGCACCCTGCTTGTCTCACACACAAAGAAGTGGTACTTCTGGGCCACAAGATCCACCATCTCTTGTATGTGAGCTCATTAACCCTTTTGAAGACTGCTGCTAACCAGAGGAAGGTAACCATTCCTCCTTATATAAACACATATGGCTTTGGCAGTCTGGAAATTGGCTGGATTACCAAGGGTTAACCATCAAAATCCTCACTTGCTGGCCCTCCCTCCACCCTCTCTTTGCCTGCAGCAAGGCAGGGAAGAGATAGGTGGTAGGGGAGAGAGAACAAGACTGTTTAGACCCACAGGCCCTTTTTAATGGAGATTAAGTGACCAGATTGGTCCTTCTCCAGTTCTCTATTTGTTCTATGGTCTCATTTCTTCCTCTCATTATTTTTGGTTTCACAACGGGAAACGTTGATTTCTTGTTGCAAGGCTGGTTTTTGAAAATTCGACACTTACTATCCAATTTTTTTGCGACGTCAGCACCTCGGGCTCAGGGGGGAGGGGGTAAAATTTTGGAGGAAAAAAAATAAAACAACCAACCAGGACCCAAAACTCAATTATTTAGGGGGCCTCATTGGATCAAAAAGTCTTTTAAAAAATAAAGGCCAACTCAGTATTCATTTCCCCCCCACCCAACTCCATTTAGGGAGGGGGGTCGCAGAAAAAAGTTCTGAGTGGATTCAAAAAAGTAAACGCTGGATGAGTGAATTTGGGTGGTTTGGGAAGGGAGGGTGGTTGATTATTTTTGAAGTTATGTAGTGACGGTCCTTCGGCCACAGATTTCAAGTCCCAAGCAGCGTGGGCTGGTGGGGTGGGCAAGATAGGTGGGAAGGGGCAGAAGACACAAGTGGTTGGGCTGGTGGCTGCTGTTTTCCCTTTCCCCCCTCTCTCAGGATCCTTTCAAGGGCTTAGATGTTGCTGCGGCTTGTTTCTGTTTTCCTCGTGGCCGGCCTGTCTTTCTCCGAGAAAATTCAAACCTGGGATAAAAGGAACACAAGGGAGAAAGATGTAATCAGTACGGGTTGCTTCAAAACACTCACAAATGCCATCTTTGTTGTCCCCAAACAAACCTGTGTCCCATCCTGATCGCAACCGCTTTAAGCCGTGGCTCTCAAATGAACCCATCCATCCCTATCCCGCTTCCCAGATCCAACGCTCTCCGCAAAATTTTACCCACTAGACGACAAAGTAGGCAAACTTACCTCTAAACGAACCCCAGAATGGCGGCCGCCCGCTCGGGTGGAGTCTTTTATACCCGGACGCCGCCCAACGCGCCCAAACGTGCTAGTGAAACGCCCTTGTCGCGAGACATTATACGCGAGGCGTGAACTCATTGGTCAACCCAAATGACAACTCGCCAACTGATTGGCTACTCTCACTTCACCTTTGCTCCGCCCCTTTCCCTGGCACTCTCTTCCGCCTCCTTCCTGCCTCCCTGTCGCGTGCGCGTGACCAGGAGCCTAGCACCTCCCTTTCCTCTGCTTCCGCCACTTCCGCCCTGGAGAACATTTCTCACCCAGGATTGGTAGAAACCTAAGAGCGCATGCGCACTGAGAGGATACCGCTAAAAATCGCCTTCAAAATTGCTTAAAAGGCAAACTTTAACAATGCGATCTAAGAGTCGTAGTGACTGGCCAAAAAAAACCGCAATTTTGGGGTCTAATTCGATTGTGACGCAGTTGAAATTAGCTTCTCCCCCATGCCTTCCCTTTCACGCTTCCGTCCTGACGCAAACGTGGGGCCGCCTTCCGCACTGCGGGCTTGTCCTTGGCCCTGCCCTACTCAGTTTCCTGAAGCATGCGCAGTTGCCTTTCCGTCAATTCCTGTCCTGGGCGTACGTCAAGATGGCGGCGTCTGTATTAAACACCGTGCTGAGGCGGCTTCCTATGCTATCTCTCTTCCGAGGTTCTCACAGAGTTCAGGTAACTCTTCGAAAGACATTTTGCACAACCTCAAGTTGGTTATACCTTCTCGAGGTTGTCGCTCCACTGTCAGGAATCCACGAGTGGAGACCTTCCCACGTGTGTCTTAGCTGTCTAGGCAGTACTTCCTGCAACCCCCCCCCCACACCCCGCGCATTTTCTAATCCCGAGCCGAGGACTAAACGCCAGGGTTAGGTATCATCCTTTTTCCAAAATGCCATTTCAGTAAAATAACTTAAGTGATGGAATTGACCCCTGTCCACCCTCAGTCATGCATAACCAGCTTTTTAAAAATTATTTAACTAATTAAGGGGCCATGCTAATCTCTGTATCGTTGCAATTTTAGCATAACATATGTACTCCCCAAGCGAGCGCCACAACCAGCTGTTAACTATGCAAGTGGTGACTAAATCTGTGTTGCTCTGGAATGTCCTTGGGGAAATTAGGGATCCCAATTTCTACCAACCTTGCTATTTCTCAATAAGGTCAGGATATATTCTTACGACCTGAGGACAGTTTCTCAGCTCTCTTTATTAAATCAGTTTCTTATCGGAGTTATGAGAGCTTAACTCCGTCCTTTGAATTGAGGTTTCCCTCCAGTCTTGTGTACTCACCTCTCTGGAGGTTCTTGGTGGGGCACGGTGAGATAGGAAGGCTTGCCCAGCTGCCACTCCCTAAAGTGGGACTGAAGAGTGGTGACAGAGGTCAACACAGAAATAATAACAGCCTTGGTAGCTTTAAAACTAGCGTTAGGACTCAAGTTTGTTCTGCCCTGTAGAATGTTGACCTTCAGCTTTTATGAAAATGGGCAACTCAGTGACTTCATTGGATTGATTTGGAGACTCACCTGTCTTCTGCATCCCCTCCCCACCACACATCTTAGTTCCAAGAACCTAGATATCCTTCCTCTTACTTTATTCTTCCACCAGAGTCAATTTATTTCCAAAAAGCAAGAATACCTTTTATGTACTAGATTTTTTTTTCTTTTTTCTTTACACGAAATCTCACTCTGTTGCCAGGTTGGAGTGTAGTGGCGCAATCTTGGCTCACTGCAACCTCCGCCTCCCGGGTTCAAGTGATTCTCTTGCCTCAGCCTCCCGAGTAGCTGGGACTACAGGCGCATGCCACCACGCCGAACTAATTTTTGTATTTTTAGTAGAGATAAGGTTTCACCATGTTGGCCAGGATGGTCTCGATGTCTTGACCTCATGATCCGCCTGCCTGGGCCTCCCAAAGTGCTGGGATTACAGACGTGAGCCACTGCGCCCGGCCTTGTACTAGACTTTTTATTTGTCTTCTGAAATAAGATTGTTTTTTAGGCATATATCCCCTAACTTAGCTTTTCTTTCAGGATCCAATTGTAGAAAAGGAGAGTGGTTGTTGATTTATGTCAATTTAAACCCAACAAAAATACTTAACTTACATATGCATTCCTGTTATATTCCATTAATGCAGTATGTGTGCATTCCTCCTTTCCAAAGTGTGATAAGCAAAACAATTTAGTCCTTTCCTTAAACTCATTCTTTTATTTTTTTCTTCTCCTTTGTAGGTTCCCCTCCAGACTCTTTGCACCAAAGCTCCCTCTGAGGAAGATTCTTTGTCCTCAGTTCCCATTTCTCCTTATAAGGATGAGCCCTGGAAATATCTGGAATCAGAAGGTACCTCTAAAGGGGGAAAGGGAGGGTCAGATAGGATTTGAGATAAGTGGACAGAGCCACCCACTACACTCCCACCCAGGAATAACTTGTATGATCTTTCATTTCAGAATACCAGGAGCGATATGGTTCTCGCCCCGTCTGGGCTGACTACCGCCGCAACCACAAGGGTGGTGTACCCCCACAGCGGACTCGGAAGACATGTATTGTGAGTTTCTGAGAGTGGGATGTGGAGTGCGGGGAGGCCACAAGTAACAGTAACAGCAGCACTTTTTCTGACGTGTTTGAACATCCTTAACTGCTGTTTTTTTTCTCTCTACAGCGTCGGAATAAAGTTGTTGGGAATCCCTGCCCCATCTGTCGAGATCACAAGTTGCATGTTGACTTTAGGGTAAGGAGAGTCTTTTCTTTTTAGGGTAAGAAAAATAAAGATTAGGGGCTGGGCGCGGTGGCTCACGCCTGTAATCCCAGCACTTTGGGAGGCCAAGGCAGGTGGATCATGAGGTCAGGAGATCAAGACCATCCTGGCTAACACGGTGAAACCCCGTCTCTACTAAAAATACAAAAAATTAGCCGGTTGTGGTGGCGGGCGCCTGTAGTCCCAGCTACTCAGGAGGCTGAGGCAGGAGAATGGCGTGAACCCGGGAGGCAGAGCTTGCGGTGAGCTGAGATCGCATCACCGCACTCTAGCCTGGGCGACAGAGTGAGACTCCGTCTCAAAAAAAAAATAAAATAAAATAAAAAAAATTAAAAAGAAAAATAAAGATTAGGAGCCCCTTTGCAGTGCCAAAGAGATTACTGTAGGTGCCCCACACTTCGTATATCCAGGAGGCCCTACAGTCCGTTTTATAGTAACTGTTTCTGGCATTATAAAAACATCCCTCCAGCCTTTTACCTTCTACTATGGATTGTACTGAAAGTTTTATCCTATGCCTATGAAATTTACAGTCTAAATTGGCAGGTAAGAGAAATGGCTGTTTTTTTTTTTTGAGACGGAGTCTTACTCTGTTGCCAAGGCTGGAGTGCAGTGGCGTGATCTCAGCTCACTGCAACCTCCGCCTTCTGGGTTCAAGCGATTCTCCCGCCTCAGCCTCCCAAGTAGCTGTAACTACAGGCTTGTGCCACCAAGCCCAGCTATTTTTTGTATTTTTAGTAGAGACAGAGTTTCACCATATTGGCCAGGCTGGTCTCAAACTCCTGACCTTGTGACCCACCCGCCTCGGCCTCCCAAAATGCTGGGATTACAGGTGTGAGCCACCACACCCAGCCAGCGAAATGGCTATTTCTAGTGGGAGAGCCAATATCCAAAGATTCGTTTGTATTCATTACAGTTATTACCAAATATATTGGCCCACTTTCTTCCTGAGGTTTTCTTTATTTCCTTGTCAATGTTCAGTGCCATGCTGGCACCTGGGGCTGGAGGGCAGGTATATGAAGCAAGATAGAGTCCATTATTTTTCAAAAAGCCTTCAATATGTGAGAAGGACAGGATTTGCTCCTTAAAGAATTTGAAAACATATTGGCTGGGTGCGGCGGCCCATGCCTGTAATGCTAGCACTTTGGGAGGCCCAGGCAGGTGCTTCACCTGAGGTCAGGAGTTTGAGACCAGCCTGGCCAACGTGGTGAAACCCTGTCTCTACTAAAAATACAAAAATTAGCCAGGCATGGTGGCAGGCGCCTATAATCCCAGCTACTTGGGAGGCTGAGGCAGGAGAATTGCTTGAACCCGGGAGGCGGAGGTTGCAGTGAGCTGAGATTGCACCACTGCACTCCAGCCTGGGCGAAAGAGTGAAACTCCTCAAAGAAAAACAAAACAAAAAGAATTTGAAAACATTATATCAATAAAACAGATAATGGGAAAGTGTTCTTCTGAGCTTGCAGCAAAAGTATTAGAGCAGAAGCTATATGGCTGATCATCAGGGAAGTAGTAGAGCATTTGGATAACAGTCAGAAAATGGGGGTATTTGACTGCAATAAGAACCCTTCTAACACAGGTTATTTAGGAGTCCCATAGATAATTTCCCAGTTTCAATTGCATATAATTGGTTATAAAAAGAGATTATGGCCAGGTGCGGTGGCTCATGCTTGTAATCCCAGCACTTTGGGAGGCCAAGGTGAGTGGATCACTTGAGGTCAGGAGTTTGAGACCAGCCTGGCCAACAAGGTGAAACGCCGTCTCTACTAAAAATACAAAAAAAATTAGCTGGGTGTGATGGCGGGCGCCTGTAGTCCCAGCTTCTCAGGAGGCTGAGGCAGGAGAATCACTGGAACCTGGGAGATGGAGGTTACAGTGAACCAAGATTGCACCACTGCACTCCAGCCTGAGCAGCAGAGCGAGACTCCGTCTCAAAAACAAAACAAAACAGAGATTATAATTAATTACATAACTGAGAGAGAGAAATGTTACAAATTTAGTAGCATGGGTGATTCTGCTTGCATTCTACTCTACAATGTACCTGCTTTTTTTTCAAGAGTCTCATTTCCTAGTTAATTTGCTGAGAGAGAGTTCTATGTAAATTGTAAAATTATTCTTAGTATATAAATTATATTCAGCATACTATTAAATACATTAGTTGTTTATACATACACATTACAATATCATTTTTTGGGTGATTTCTGGGATTTCCAATGACCAGCCCCAGTTTTTCACCTAAAGGCTGACGTTAGAACTTAACCTCTGCAGCCCAGGCGCGGTGGCTCATGCCTGTAATCCCAGCACTTTCTGAGGCCAAGGTGGGTGTATCACTAGGTCAGGAGTTCAAGGCCAGCTTGGCCAAGATGGTGAAACCGCATCTCTACTAAAGATACAAAATAATTAGCCAGGTGTGGTGGCAGGCGCCTGTAACCCCAGCTACTCGGGAGGCTAAGGCAGAGAATTGCTTGAACCTGGGAGGCGGAGGTTGTGGTGAGCTGAGATCGCGCCACTGCACTCCAGCCTGGGCAACACAGGGAGACTCTGTCTCAAAAAAAAAAAAAAAAAAAAAAAAAAGAACTTAACCTCTGCATAAGAGATTTCTATGGGAGCACAGTGACAGAATATGGGATGTGCAAGGATGGATTCAGTGAATTGATGAAGCCAAACTGGGACATGAAGGAGGATGGCATCTGGAGAGCTGTAGAGGGGTGAAGGTGGTCCATGTGGGTGTGTAGGGATTGTGTACTTTCGATGTCCAAAGATCCTGCTGCTCTCCCTGCCTCTTTTCCTCACGTTTCTCTACCACTTTCCCCCACAGAACGTGAAGCTCTTGGAGCAATTTGTCTGCGCCCACACGGGTATCATCTTCTATGCTCCATACACAGGTTAGCCCATCATCCCTGCACCACCAGAGAGCTTTTCCTTGTGGCATGCCTTGTTTATGTAGTTGGCCAATAGGTATTTGTTCAGTGGCTCCTGCTTATAGCCTAAAAGGTCTGGCTGAACCTTTTGGAAATCTTGGCTTGCTGGGGGCTAAAGTAATTAAATGTGGACAAAAGAAAACAACAAATACAGCCAGGCGTGGTGGCTCATGCCTGTAATCCCAGCACTTTGGGAGGCCGAGGCGGCTGGATCACCTGAGGTTGGGAGTTCGAGACCAGCCTGACCAACATGGAGAAACCCTGTGGTGATGCATGCCTGTAATCCCAGCTACTCAGGAGGCGGAGGCAGGAGAGTCGCTTGAACCCAGGAGGCACAGGTTGTGGTGAGCCAACATTGCGCCATTGCACTCCAGCCTGGGCATCAAGTGAAGCTCCATCTCAAAAAAAAAAAAGGAAAAAGAAAAAAACAAGTACTTCTGTAAGCAAACTATCTAAATGTAGTTTTTAATTGATAAACAGTGATTAATTCCTTTCTATAGGGTCTTTTAACTTTTACAAAAGACTTCTCACAAATTGTCACATAAGTTATTTTATATCATTGTCAATTGGATTAGATTTTCCAAACTTGGAATCGTAAATTTAACAATTCAGAATTATATTTATTCCCTAACTACAGTCACAGGGCAAATCTGGCCCACTGTCACGTCCATTTGTTTTCATATTTTCTGCAATTGCTTCCATGCTACAATGGCAGAGTTGAGTAGCTGAGACAGAGACCACAGGACCTGCAGAGTTTAAAATATTTACTATATGACTCTAGACAGAAAAATTTTGCTAACCCCTGCTCTGAAGCAAGACAAATTTGCAGAGAATAATTTTTTGTTGTTTTTTTTTTTTGAGACGAAGTTTCACTCTTGTTGCCCAGGCTGGAGTGCAATGGTGCAATCTTGCCTCACCACAACCTCTGCCTCCCAAGTTCAAGTGATTCTCCTGCCTCAGCCCCCTGAGTAGCTGGGATTGCAGGCACATGCCACCATGTCCGGCAAATAGAGATGGGGTTTCTCCATGTTGGTCAGGCTGGTCTCGAACTCCGGATCTCAGGTGATCCAGCTGCCTTGGCCTTCCAAAGTGCTGGGATGACAGGCATGAGCCACCGTGCCCGGCAGAGACTAATCTTTGTTTTTGTTTTTTTTGGGGGGGTGTGGGTGGGGGGATGAAATCTCATTTACTCTGTCACCCAAGGCTGGAGTGCAGTGGCATGATCTTGGCTCACTGCCGTCTCCACCTCCTGGGTTCAAGCAGTTCTCCTGCCTCAGCCTCCCAAGTAGCTGGGATTACAGGCACGTGCCACTGTGCCTGGCTAATTTTTTTTGTATTTTTAGTAGAGACAGGGTTTCACCATTTTGGCCAGTCTGGTCTTGAACTCCTGACCTCAAGTGATCCTCCCACCTAAGCCTCCCAAAATGCTGGGATTATAGGCATGAGCCACCGTGCCTGGCCTTGCAGAGAATAATCTGAATTCACCATTGTTGGGGGTGGCAGTACAATCAGTGTTCAGTTTGTCAAGAGTTTCTTATAGTCAAGCTGTAAAGGCTGAAGGGACTATTATTGTTACTCTCTCAGATTGCCTTCCCCAACTCTGAAATCTCTTTTCCCTTTATTGAATCTTTGTGGATTGTTCAACTCAACCCTCTAATTAACCACACTTGCCCATTAAATTGTGTTCTCCCTGTCTTGGAGGTTTTACCATTAAATGGCTTCTCTATAGTGGCTAGACCCTCCTAAATCTTTATCCCAGCTCTCCAAAAGATGGGGGAGATTCTTTCCTTTGGGCAGATGGGGAAACTGAGGTCCATGGAGGGGTCAGGGGAAAGGGGTCATTAGGTAAAGCCAATCCTTCCCAATCTACCCCTCTGTCACCATATGGAAGCAGTTGTGTTCTATTATTTACTGTGCCTTAAAGAACAAGATATTTTTCTCCCCACAGGAGTCTGTGTGAAGCAGCACAAGCGGTTGACCCAGGCCATCCAGAAAGCCAGGGATCATGGTGAGCATGAGACGGGGCACACAGCAGTTTTGTTTAGGTATAAGGAAGATGACTTAGGGCTAGAAAATGGATATAAATGCTCACACCTGTTCAAGATGGTAGCACCCAGCATGTTCTTCCTGACGTTACATTGTCCCCTGTCCTTTCTCCTGAGTGTCTTACTTTATCATTGTCCTGTCTCCTTGTTCTTTGTCTTTCCATCCTTTTCCCTCCTATTTTACAACTGCTGGTCTCAATGCCTTAGGAAGTTCTTTATATAAATGTCTGGCCCTGGACTACATGGCACTGCTGCATAAGTTAGTAAAAAGTATACCCCTCTGCTAGGGCAGATGCAGCTTCATAGTCCTTGTTCAGCACTGCACAGCTTTGTAAGCAAGAGCCCCAGCAGTATGTCAGCCCACACTTGCCCTCTGGGCCGGTCACCTGTTTGCAGTATACAACATGCATAAATGTACCTGGTGGCTCTGACTGGTCCTTCCCTTTATAATCCTTTTTCTTACTTCATCTAAACCACCCTCCTCATTGCCTCTTAAATTTCTTTTCTTTTTTAATCCCTTAGGTCTCCTCATTTACCACATCCCCCAGGTTGAACCACGGGACCTTGACTTCAGTACCTCTCATGGGGCTGTGAGTGCTACTCCGCCAGCCCCCACCCTGGTCTCAGGTGACCCCTGGTACCCATGGTACAACTGGAAACAGCCACCGGAGAGAGAACTGTCTCGCCTTCGCCGGCTTTACCAGGGTCATCTCCAAGAAGAGAGTGGCCCCCCACCTGAGTCAATGCCCAAGATGCCCCCTAGAACACCAGCGGAAGCCTCCTCCACTGGGCAGACAGGCCCTCAGAGTGCTCTGTAGGAGCTGTAGACTGGGAAGAGAGGCCAGGCGTGGTGGCTCACTCCTGTAATCCCAGCACTTTGGGAAGCCAAGGTGGGCTGATCACTTGATCCCAGGAGTTTGAGACCAGCCTGGGCACCATGGTGAAACCTCGTCTTTACCAAAAAATACAAAAATTAGCTGGGTGTGGTGGTGCACACCTGTAGTCTCAACTATTGGGGAGGCTAAGGTAGGATCACTTGATCCCAGGAGGCGGAGGTTGCAGTGAGTTGCAGTCACACCCCTGCACTCCAGCCTGGGTGACAGCTAGACCCTGTCTCAAAAAAAAAAAAAAAGACTGGGAAGAGAGCTAGAGGGACTAGGAGATAATGTGTATGTAGGTTTATGTGATGGGATATCACCCTGAAGAGTTGTGTCTTTTGTGGCCAGTGACAAATCCAGGAAATGAATGTTGCTGATAGGGATAAATCTTGAGGCTGAGGGCGGGTGGTACAGATGTGTATGGGAAACCCCAACCCCTATATATTGTAAATAGATGGGCTGGGCTAAACATTGTTGCCGTTTCATACTTCTACCAACTCAGCTTTTACACAATAAAGCTCTACTGTCTCTGGTTTGCTTTGGGCTGTTTCCGATGAATGCCATTAGCGGGGGGTGGGCTGAGTGATGGTCTTTTCATATAAGCAATTGGGTGATGCTGTGGGGAGATAAGTGGTCAGGCTTAAGCCAGCCTTGCCTGTGACGCCTGGGACTAGAAGCCGGGGATGGGCAGCTGTGCCACTCTGTCAAGATGCCTTGTGGGCCCCCACTCCACAGCATGGCCCACTGTTCACTGAGGGGATAAAAGGTTGGACAGTGAGACACTGGGCCAAGGAAGACTACGTTGCCATGGCACTCACTGCCGTGGGATGCAGGGATGGAAAGGAGTGGCACTGCTAGGGGCACAGCTGGTTTGGCAAGAAAAACGGGGGCCCTGTCAGTTGCCAGGACGCTAGGGGGCAAGGTCTACAGGCGGGGCTCCTGGAAATAAAGACTCCGAGAGGCGGTGCGGCGAGAGGAGGGGCGGAAGTGACGTCGTGTGGGGCGGGTCCGACCGCGCACAATGGGCCATGGAGTTCCCGTTCGATGTGGACGCGCTGTTCCCGGAGCGGATCACGGTGCTGGACCAGCACCTGAGGCCCCCAGCCCGCCGACCCGGAACCACAACGCCGGCCCGGTGACAGCTCAAACCCACCCTCTGGCCCTTTTCTCCCGGTTCCTCTCCAAACCTGGTCCAGGCACCACGCCCCCTTCTCACTGACTAGTGATCGCCCCTTTTGATGTCCAGGCCTGCCTTTTTGGTGACCTCTGACCCTGGGCCTAGTGGGATTGATCAGCGCTTGGATCTGTGACCTTTCACCCCGGGCCCAAAATGTCCCAATCAAAGGATGTGGTTGACCTGGCCTTTCTGCTTCCTCACAATAACCTTAAGGGAGGAGGGAGTGTGCCACCTTGAAAGGTGTGACAGAAGTTTGGGTTTCAGAAGGGTGGGGTGGGAAATCAGATTGGAAGACTCCCAGGCAAAGGCAGGGAGCCTTCAGTGTTAAACCTGGGTTGGAGTTGTGGCCCAGGTTCCCAGGACTGACTGCCTAGGACCCGCTAATTTAGTGAGTATCTGACTCTTTATTTCTTCTCTTTCTCTAGTGTTGATCTACAGCAGCAAATTATGACCATTATAGATGAACTGGGCAAGGCTTCTGCCAAGGTACTGGAGAGTTTTTAGATGGAGTAAAGGGAGGACCTCTGTGGGGATGGTATATAAGGGAGGCCTGGGTCCTTCGGAGAGACTTGCAGAAAGTCTGACTTAATCTTCCCTGCAGGCCCAGAATCTTTCCGCTCCTATCACTAGTGCATCAAGGATGCAGAGTAACCGCCATGTTGTTTATATTCTCAAAGACAGTTCAGCCCGACCGTGAGTGCCACATGCTCTTCCATCCCATACTTAATTCCTTCCTTCCTCAGCCCTTCCCCCATCTTTGACTATCTCTTGCAGATAGATACCACTAGCCTGTTCATTATTTTCCCTGTCCTACAGGGCTGGAAAAGGAGCCATTATTGGTTTCATCAAAGTTGGATACAAGAAGCTCTTTGTACTGGTGAGTGTTATTGGATGCTAGGAGTTCGTATACCTTGGTTTCTGAGAACAAAAGTGCTGGAGGTTAGGGGGCAGCAGAGATGCCGGGGTTCCTAAAACATTTTTATTGTTTCTCTCTTAGGATGATCGTGAGGCTCATAATGAGGTAGAACCACTTTGCATCCTGGACTTTTACATCCATGAGTCTGTGCAACGCCATGGCCATGGGCGAGAACTCTTCCAGTATATGTTGCAGGTATCACTGACCTCTTCACTGGTTCATCCAAACTAGGGGCTCCTTTGCCCTGAGCCCTTCCAGAAGCCCTGCCTCCCACCCCCCATGTTCCCATGTCATTCTATTCCCTTCCCAGGCTTCTGGCTTCCTGTTGGCATGCTTTCCCCATACTTCCTCCTACCCTGAGTCTCCTTTTCCCTGCAGAAGGAGCGAGTGGAACCGCACCAACTGGCAATTGACCGACCCTCACAGAAGCTGCTGAAATTCCTGAATAAGCACTACAATCTGGAGACCACAGTCCCACAGGTTAGAGGTTTCAGAGAATAGATCCCCACTGAGCATTCCCATTGAATTTATTTGTTATTTATGGCAAAGAAGTAGTGACTTATTTCCTATCACATAGGTTTCATTTTCTACAACCAGGCTCTTTCTTTCTCTTGTGGTACCATCTCTCATCCTGTAGTGACTTCTTTCTCATCTATTTTGATTTTTTTTTTTGAGATGGAGTCTCGCCATGCTGCCCAGGCTGGAGTACAGTGGCGCAATCTCAGCTCACTGCAACCTCCACTTCCTGGTTTCAAGCGATTCTCCTGCTTCAGCCTCCTGAGTAGCTGGGACTACAGGCACCCACCACCACACCCAGCTAATTTTTATATCTTTAGTGGAGACGGAGTTACACCATACTGGCCAGGCTGGTCTCAAACTCCTGACCTTGTGATCTGCCCGCCTTGGCCTCCCAAAATGCTGGGATTACAGGTGTGAGCCACCGCATCTGACTTTTTTTTTTTTTTTTTCAAAGCAAAGTCTCCTGCTGTTGCCCAAGCTGGAGTGCTATGGCAGGATCTTGGCTCACTGCAGCCCAACCTTCTGGGCTCAAGCGATACTCCTCCCTTAGCCTCCTGAGTAGCTGAGACTACAGGCATGCACCACCATGCCTGGCTAATTTTTTATTTTTTGTAGAGATGAGGTCTCACTATGTTGCACTGGGTGGTCTTGAACTCCTGGCTCAAGAGATCCACCTGCCTCAGCCTCCCAAAGTGCTGGGATTATAGGCGTGAGCCACTGTACCCAGACTTATTTTGATTCTTTACCACAAGTTGTTTCCTACACCTAATTTTTCTTTTTTTTTTTTTTTGTGAGATGTAGCCTTGCTCCATCGTCCAGGCTGGATTGCAGTGGCACGATCACAGCTCACTGCAACCTCTGCCTCCGGGGTTCAAGTGATTCTTGTGCCTCAGCCTCCTGAGTAGTAGGGATTACAGGCATGCACCATCATGCCCAGCTAATTTTTGTATTTTTAGTAGAGATGGAGTTTCACCATGTTGGACAGACTGGTCCTGAACTCATGGCCTCAAGTGATGTGCCCACCTCAGCCTCCCAAAAGTGCTGGGATTACAGGTGTGAGCCACCGCACACAACCCTTATGCCTAATTTTTTTTTGAGACAGAGTCGCTCTGTCACCCAGGCTGGAGTGCAGTGGCACGATCTCAGCTCACTGCAAGCTCCGCCTCCCAGGTTCACGGCATTCTCCTGCCTCAGCCTCCCGAGTAGCTGGGACTACAGGTGCCCACCACCATACCCAGCTAATTTTTTGTATTTTTAGTAGAGATGGGGTTTCACCGTGTTAGCCAGGATGGTCTAGATCTCCTGACCTTGTGATCTGCCCGCCTCGGCCTCCCAAAGTGCTGGGATTACAGGCGTGAGCCACCGTGCCCGACCCCTTATGACTAATTTTCAACCCAAACATAGCCAGCTCATTTTCACCTCCTTGTTTTCACATAGTTCATTACTCATCTGGTCAGTCAGTATTTATTAAGGGTCCAGAATAATATGCATTCCCTGTCCTCATGGAGCTTTGGCCTAATATAGGGAAGGAAGTCTTGTTTATAACTAAGTGCAGCAAAATGTTACTAATGCTACCCATTCATCCAATAAACATTGAGTGCCTGGCAGTGTTCTGGGCACTAGGAATGGTTTACTCAATGAAACAGACAACAGCCTGGGCAACATAGCGAAACTCTGTCTCTACAAAAAATACAAAAAAAAATTAGCCAGGCGTGGTGGCACGAGCCTGTAGTCCCAGCTACTTGGGAGGCTGAAATGGGAGAATCGCTTGAGCCTGGGAGGCAGAGGTTGCAGTGAGCCAAGATCGCGCCACTGCATTATAGCCTGGGCAACAGAGAGAGACCCTGTCTCCAAAAATGAAAACAAAAACAGAAAAAAAGGCCAGGTGCGGTGCGGTGGCCCATGCCCGTAATCCCAGCACTTTGGGAGGCTGACGTGGGCGAATCACTTGAGGTCAGGAGTTTGAGACCAGCCTGGTCAACATGGTAAAACCCCGTCTCTATTAAAAATACAAAAATTAGCGGGGCATGATGGTGGGTACCTGTAATCCCAGCTACCCAGGAGGCTGAGGCAGGAGAATCACTTGAACCCGGGAGGCAGAGGTTGCAGTGAACCAAGATTGCACCACTGCACTCCAGCCTGAGCGACAGAGTGAGGACTCCATCTCAAAAAAGAAAAAGAAAAAGGGCCAGGCATGGTGGCTCATGCCTGTAATCCCCACACTTTGGGAGGCCAAGGCAGGAGGATCACCTGATATCAGGAGTTCGAGATCAGCATGTGGAACATAGTGAAACCCTGTCTCTACTAAAAATATAAAAATTAACTGGGCATGATGGCGTGCGCCTGTAATCCCAGCTACTCGGGAGGCTGAGGCAGGAGAATTGCTTGAACCCCGGAGGCAGAGGTTACAGTGAGCCGAGGTCCTGCTACAGCACTCCACCCTGGGGGACGAAGCGAGACTCTTGTCTCGGAACAAAAAAAAAAAACAGAAAAAGAAGGGAACAGACAAAAGTCCCTGTCTTAGTGGTGGAGCTTATATTCTAGCTGGAGAGACAAACAAACATAATAAACAATATGGTTAATAAGTGCTCTGGAAAAATGAGAGCAAGTAAGGGTTTGGGAGTACTCAAGTAAGGTGGGGATGGGAGTATGTGGGATTGCAGGTTGAAAGGGGATCATCACTGAGAAAGTGTCATTTGAGCAATAACTGAAAGGAAGTAAGAGTAAAAACTGGCCGGGCACGGTGGCTCATGCCTGTAATCCCAGCACTTTGGGAGGCCGAGGCGCGCGGATCACGAGGTCAGGAGATCTAGACCATCCTGGCTAACATGGTGAAACCCTGTCTCCACTAAAAAAAATACAAAAAAATTAGCTGGGTGCCTGTAGTCCCAGCTACTCGGGAGGCTGAGGCAGGAGAATGGCGTGAACCCGGGAGGCAGAGCTTGCAGTGAGCCGAGATCGCGCCACTGCACTCCAGCCTGGGTGACAGAGCGAGACTCCATCTCAAAAAAAAAGAATAAAAACCAAGGCTGGGCGTGGTGACTTACATCTGCAATCCTAGTACTTAGGGAGGCCGAGGTGGGTGGATCACTTGAGCCCAGGAGTTCGAGACTAGCCTAGGCAACATGGTGAAACCCCATCTCTACAAAAAACACAAAAATTAGCCAGGTGTAGTGGCACGCACCTGTGGTCCCAGCTACTTGGGGGTCTGAGGCAGGAGGATTGCTTAAGCCCAGGAGGTCGAAGCTGCAGTGAGCCGAGATGGTACCACTGCACTGCAGCCTGGGTAACAACGTGAGACTGTCTCAAAACAAACAAACAAAAAAAAAGAGTAAGAGCCAAGAAATATCTGGAGAGAGAGCATCCCAGACAGAAGGTACCACCAGTGTATGGCCGTGAGGTGGGAGTGTGCCTGAAAGAGCAAATTGGCTGTGTCCAGAGCAGCATGAGTCAGCGGAGGAGTATGGTAGGAGATGAGACCAGAGAGGTAATGCGGAGGAGGGGCCTTATAGGCTACTGCAAAGACTGGCTTTTATTTTAAGTAAAAAATAAGATCAGGCCAGGGGTGGCGACTCACACCTGTAATCCCAGCACTTTGGGAGGCCGAGGTAGGTGGATCACCTGAGGTCTCTACTGAAAATACCAAAATTAGCTGGGTGTGATGGCAGGTGCCTGTAATCCCAGCTGTTTGGGAGTCTGAGGCAGGAGAATCACTAGAACCGGGAGGCGGAGGTTGCAGTGAGCCGCTGAAATTGTACCACTGCACTCCTGCCTGGGCGACAGAGCAAGACTCCTTCTTAAAAAAAAAAAAAAAAAAAAATAGCGCCAGGTGTGGTATCTCATTCCTGTAATCCCAGCATTTTGGGAGGCCCAGGCAGGTGGATCACAAGGTCAGGAGTTCGAGACCAGCCTGGCCATATGGTGAAACCCCATCTCTACTAAAAATACAAAAATTAGCCGGGTGTGGTGGCGGGCACCTGTAGCCCCAGCTACTTGGGAGGCTGAGATAGAAGAATCGCTTGAACCTGGGAGGCAGAGGTTGCAGTGAGCTGAGATCGCACTACTGCACTCCAGCCTGGATAACAGAACGAGACTCCATCAAAGAAAAAAGAAAAAGATCATTTTGGCTGTGATCTTGATTTTTTCCTTTTTAACAAGATCACTTTGGCTGTTAAGAACAGGCAATAGCCGGGCACAGTGGCTCACACCTGTAATCCTAGCACTTTGGGAGGCCGAGGCAGGTGGATTGCCTGAGGACTTCAAGACCAGTCTGGCTAACATGGTGAAACCCCATCTCTACTAAAAATAGAAAAAAAAATTAGCCAGGTGTGGTGGTGCTCGCCTGTAATCCCAGCTACTCGGGAGACTGAGGCAGGGGAATTGCTTGAATCAGGGAGGTAGAGGTTGCAGTGAGCTGAGATTGTGCCACTGCACTGCACTCTAGCCTGGTGACAGAGTAAGACCCCATATCAAAAAAAAAAAAAAAAATGGAAACGGCAATAAGGGAGCCAGAGTAGAAGCAAGTAGACTAATTAGGCAGCAACAATCCTGGCGAAAAATGGTGGTGGCTCAGACCAAGGTGGTAGCAGTAGTGATGGTAAAGAGTGGTCAAATTTTAAATATTTTGAAGGTAAAGCAAGTAAGATTTCCTGACAGATTGTATGTGGAGAAAGAGGACTTTAGGACAATGCCAAAGCCTGAGCAGCTGGAAGAATGAAGTTGCTTTAACTGAGATGGTAGGTAGACCAGCTTTGGGGGAAATACTAGGAGTACATTTTTAATATGTTAATTGGAGATGTCTGTGATATGTCCAGGTTTGAGTAGACAGTTGGATACTTCCCTGGAGATCAGGGAGGAGGTTTGGGGAGGAGAGTTTTCAGCATACATCTGGTATCTAAAGCCAACAGACAGGATGCGATCACCATAGAAAGATTATAGATAGAGAAGCTGCCCCTTTGGGCCCTCTTTAAGAAGTGAGGACCCCCAACTGGCTGCTCTGAAAAGCCATCTTTGCATTGTTCCTGGTTCGGTGTCCTGCTCACCACAGCCACCTCCGCCATGCACTTCCTCTGCTGCCTCAGAGTCTGGCAGCTTAATCGACATAGTCCCCAAACTCTCACTTTCTTCTTAATCCCTTGCATCGGATCACCGCTGTGCCCCACCATGTCAGAGGCAGTTGTGGACACAAGCTCCGTGATCACCACCAAGGACTTCAAGGAGAAGTTGTGGAGGAGGCAGAAAGTGGAAGAGACGCCCATGCTAACGGGAACGCTAATGAGGAAAATGGGGAGCAGGAGGCTGACAACGAGGTAGATGAAGAAGAGGAACAGGGTGGGGAGAAAGAGGAGAAGGAAGAGGAAGGTGATGGTGAAGAAAAGAACGGAGATGAAAACGAAGCAGCTGAGGCGGTATGGACAAATGGGCAGCTGATGATGATGAAGATGACGATGTTGATACCAAGCAGCAGAAGGCCAGTGAGGATGATTAGACAGCAAAAAAAGAAAAGTTAAACTTTAAATTAAGGCCACCGTGACCTATTCACCCTCCACTTCCCATCTCAGAATCTAAACATGGTTGCCCTCGAGAGGCCTGCTTGCCCTCCACAGACAGTGCCACTGCAGATGACAGGCACTCACCACCACCCAACCCAAACCAGAGAATTTGCAACAGAGGAGGAAAAAAGAACCAAAACTTCCAAGGTCTTGCTCTTTTAAAAGTACTTTAAAAAGGAAGTTTGTTTGTATTTTTTATTTACATTTTATATTTTTGTACATATTGTTAGGGTCATTTTTTTTTTCTTTGAGACGGAGTCTAGCTCTGTCGCCAGGCTCAAGTGCAGTGGTGCGATCTTGGCTCACCGCAAGCTCCACCTCCTGGGTTCAAGTGATTCTCCTGCCTCAGCCTCCTGAGTAGCTGGGATTACAGGCGCCCGCCACCACACCCAGCTAATTTTTGTATTTTTAGCAGAGACAGGCTTTCACCAGGTTGGCCAGGATGGTTTCTATCTCCTGACCTTGTGATCCACCTACCTCGGCCTCCCAAAGTGCTCGAATTACAGGCGTGAGCCACCGGCGCCCAGCCAGGTTCAGTCATTTTTAATGATCTCAGATGACCAAGCCAGCCTTTGGAGGGTTCTCTGTCTTACTTCTGACTTTACTTGTGGTGTGACCATATTCATTATAATCTCAAAGGAGGAAAAAAAAAAAAAAAAAAAACCTTGTTTAAAAAAAAAAAAAAAGCCTGGGCGCGGTGGCTCGCGCCTGTAATCCCAGCACTTTGGGAGGCCGAGGTGGGTGGATCACGAGGTCAGAAGATCGAGACCATCCTGGCTAACATGGTGAAACCCCCTGTCTACTAAAAATACAAAAAATTAGCCAGGCGTGGTGGCGGGAGCCTGTAGTCCCAGCTACTTGGGAGGCTGAGGCAGGAGAATGGCGTGAACCCGGGAGGCAGAGCTTGCAGTGAGCCAAGATTGTGCCACTGCACTCCAGCCTGGGCAACAGAGCGAGACTACATCTCAAAAACAACAACAACAACAAAAAGTCTCGTTCTGAGCATTCCAGTAGCTTCTTTAGTGTATGTAGTTAGTTGTACCATAAGTAGTTGGTTTGTGTGAGATGGTTAAAAAGGCCAAAGATAAAATGTTTCATTTATTTGCCTTTTTTGTCTATGAAATGGCTGCTTATTTATTTAGGCCTATTTGATGTATGTGTGAAACAATATTGTGCAACAATAAACCCAAATTTTATTTTGCTGAGTTGTTCTAACAGCAACAAAAAGAAGTTAAGGAAGAGAAGAAGACCAGCAAATGCAACCACAGAGTGACTAGTGAAGTAGATGAAAACTGAGGCCGGGTGTGGTGGCTCACACCTGTAATCCCAGCACTTTGGGAGGCCGAGTCGGGTGGATCACCTGAGGTCAGGAGTTCAAGACCAACATGGTGAAACCCCATCTCTACAAAAAATACAAAATTAGCCAGGCGAGGTGGCTCATGCCTGTAATCCCAGCTACTTGGGAGGCTGAGGCAGGACAATCACTTGAATCTGGGAGGTGGAGGTTGCAGTAAGCCGAGATCATGCCATTGCACTCCAGCCTGGGCAACAAAGCGAAACTCCATCTCAAAAAAAAAAAAAAAGAAAAGAAAACTGAAAAGTAAGGTGACCTCAAAGGCCACTGAAGAAAGTGTTTCCAGGAGGAAGGAATGGTTTACTTGGTCAAATGCTGCTGATCAAGGAGCAAAGAGGTCTGAGAAGTTACCATTGGATTTATCTGCGTTAGGCCATTGGTGATCTTAATGAGCAGTTTTGGTGCAGCGGTGTTTGGAAGCCTGGATGCAGTGGGTCTTGTAGACTGAGAAGCTAGGAACACAGCAAGAATAAGCTACTCTTTTAAATCCTGCTTTAATGGGAATAGAAATAGAGCAAGAGCTGGAGAGTGAAGTGGATCAAAAGAGTTGATCTTTTGCAGATGGGAGAACAAATAGCATTAGAATGATTCAGTAGAGAGAAAATATTATTATGTCAGAGAAAGTGGGGAGAACTGTTGAAGTGATGTCATTGAATGGGCGGCGGGGGCGTTGAGATTTGGTTGACAAGTTAGCCTTGGATAGGAACATGGACAGTTAATCCATTGTAACATGATTTGATAGATGTGATTACAGAGGAGGCATAAGGACATGGATTTGAGTGCTATCTTGGGCTGGGGGTTGGGTAAAGAAAGATGACATGTCTAATCTTGAAAGGCAAGTGTTTGTCAGGTGGACAAAAGGCTAAAGTGCATTTCATGTAGAGGAACAGGCATGAGCAAAGGCAGAAAGGTATTAAACCACCTTTCAGGCCAGGCGTGGTGGCTCACACCTGTAATCCCAGCACTTTGGGAGGCCAAGGTAGGCGGATCACAAGGTCAGGAGATCGAGACCATCCTGGCTAACACGGTAAAACCCCGTCTCTACTAAAAATACAAAAAAAATTAGCTGGGCGTGGTGGCAGGCGCCTGTAGTCCCAGCTAATCAGGAGGCTGAGGCAGGAGAATGGCGTGAACCCAGGAGGCGGAGCTTGCAGTGAGCCCAGATCATGCCACTGCACTCCAGCCTGGGCGACAGAGCAAGACACTGTCTCAAAAAAAATAAATAAATAAATAAAAATAAACCACCTTTCAGGACACTACAAGCAGTGTGGTGTGGTTGGAGTGCTGGGCATGTGCTTGTTGGGGGGTGGGGGTGATGAGGATGGGCTGGTAGACATTACAACAAGGTCAAGGCAAGGGATAGGCAGGGTCTTCCTACAGTATATTTTTCCATTAAGAGGCAACAGAGAGCAGTGGAAGGAGCACAGTTTTTTTTTGTTTGTTTGTTTGTATTTTGAGATGGAGTCTCAGTCTGTCGCCCAGGCTGGAGTGCAGTGGCACAATCTCAGCTCACTGGAACCTCTGCCTCCTGAGTCCAAGCAATTCTCTTGCCTCAGCCTCCTGAGTAGCTGGGATTAGAGGCGCCCACCACCACACCTGGCTAATTTTTGTGTTGATGAGGTTTCACCATGTTGGCCAGACGTCTCGAACTTCTGACCTCAAGTGATCCGCCCACCTCGGTCTCCCAAAGTGCTACGATTACAGCCGTGAGCCACCATACCCGGTCCTGGAGCACAGTATTCGATATGAAACACATTACCCAGTTAACATGTAAGGCCAGAGCAGTATAGAGTGTAAATAATAATTCACATTTCATGGGCTCTATGTGGTATCTATATGCATCATCTCAGTGGATTCTTGCACATCTTTTTGAGGTAGGTACTATTATTAAACCTATTTTGGGTTTATACAAATTAATGACTTAACCAAATTCACACAGCCAGTAAATAGTAGAGTCCACATTTGAACCCATAGCCATTTGCACCCAGTGAACTTTTTTTTTTTTTTTCTTTTTGAGGCAAGGTCTTGCTCTGTTGCCTAGGCTGGAGTGCAGTGGCACGATCACGGCTCACTGCAGTCTCTACCTCCTAGGCTCAAGAGATCTTCCCTACCAGCCTGGCCAACATGGCGAAACCCCATCTCTATTAAAAATACAAAAATAAGCCGGGCGTGGTGGCATGTGCCTGTAATCCCAGCTACTCAGGAGGCTGAGACAGGAGAAGAGCTTGAACCTGGGAGGTGGAAGTTGCAGGGAGCCGAGATGACACCATTGCACTCCAGCATGGGCAACAGAGTGAGATTCCATGTTAAAAAAAAAAAAAGGCCGGACGCATTGGCTCGCGCCTGTAACCCCAGCACTTTGGAAGGCCAAGGCGGGCGGATCACGAGGTCAAGAGATCAAGACCATCCTGGCCAACATGGTGAAACCCTGTCTCTACTGAAAATACAAAAATTAGCTGGGCATGGTGGCGCATGCCTGTAGTCCCAGCTGCTCCGGAGGCTGAGGCAGGAGAATCGCTTGAACTCAGGAGGTGGAGGTTGCAGTGAGCTGAGATCTTGCCACTGAAGTCCAGCCTGGCAACAGAGCGAGACTCCATCTCAAAAAAGATCTTCCCACCTCAACCTCCCAAGTAGTTGGGACTACAGGCGCCCACCACTATGGCTGGCTGATTTTTTGTATTTTTAGTAGAGACGGGGTTTCACCGTGTTAGCCAGGGTGGTCTCGATCTCCTGACCTCGTGATCGGCCCGCCTCGGCCTCCCAAAGTGCTGGGATTACAGGCTTGAGCCACTGGGCCCGGCCCACGCCTGGCTAATTTTTAAAAATATTTTTGTAGAGATGAGGTCTTGCTATATTGCCCAGGCTGGTCTTGAACTCCTGGGCTCAAGCTATCCACATGAGCCACCATGCCCAGCCCCCATTAAACTTTTTTTTTTGAGATGGAGTCTCACTCTGTCACCCAGGCTGAAGTACAGTGGTGCAATCTCAGCTCACTACAGCCTCTCCCTCCTGGGGTCAATGGATTCTCCTGCCTCAGCCTCCTGAGTAGCTAGGATTACAGGCGCACGTCACCACACCCAGCTAATTTTTGTATTTTTAGTAGAGACAGGGTCTCGAACTCCTGACCTCAAGTGATCCACCCGCCTTGGCCTCCCAAATTGTTGGGATTACAGGCGTGATCCACCACGCCTGGCCCCCGAGTTTTTTTTTTTTTTTTGAGACGGAGTCTCTCTCTGTCGCCCAGGCTGGAGTGCAGTGTTGCCATCTCGGCTCACTGCAAGCTCTCCTCTTGAGTAAACTCTTAATGGCTACACTATTTTCCTGGCTAAAACACTGCAGCTGGAATCAGAAGTCTGAAAGTTGAGGCCCAGCCCTGCCACTTGTAGCTACTTGGCATTGGCCAAGCGAAGCCATGTCTCCAAGGCTGTATTTCCCCCAACCTTCTTTCAAATAGTGACTTCCAGGATTGTGAAGGCCAAATTAAATGTGAAAATATAATGAAGTAACTCTAAAATTAATAGTTACTAGTTATCAAAGTAGCATCCTGGCCTCCAGCATGTCTTCCCCTGACTTTCCCCACCCCTTGGAACCCTGCTGAATTTTTTATTTATTTATTTATCCTTTGAGACGGAGTCTCATTCTCTTGCCCAGGCTGGAGTGCAGTGGCACGATCTCAGCTCACTGCAACCTCCGCCTCCTGGGTTCAAGCGACTCTCCTGCCTCAGCCTCCCAAGTAGCTAGGATTACAGGTGCACACTGCCATGCCTGGCTAATTTTTTGTATTTATAATAGACACAGGGTTTCACCATCTTGGCCAGACCGGTCTTGAACTCCTGACCTCAAGTGATGCCTGCCACAGCCTCCCAAAGTGCTGGGATTACAGGTGTGAGCCACTGAACCTGGACTTTAGCACCTTTTTATGTGCTTATTGGCCATTTGTGTATCTTCTTTAGAGAAAAGTTTATACAAGTCCTTTGTCTGTTCTTAAATTGTGTTCTTTTTTGTTCTGAGAGTTTTTCATATATTCTAGATAGAACGCACTTATCAGATGTATGACTTGCAAACATTTTCTCCCATTCTGTAGATTGTCTTTTCACTTTCTTTCTTTTTTTTTTTTTTTGAGACGGAGTCTTGCTCCATCGCCCAGGCTGGAGTGCAGTGGCACGATCTCAGCTCACTGCAAGCTCTGCCTCCCGGGTTCACGCCATTCTGCTGCCTCAGCCTCCCGAGTAGCTGGGACTACAGGCGCCCGCCACCACATCCGGCTAATTTTTTTGTATTTTTAGTAGAGATGGGGTTTCACCATGTTAGCCAGGATGGTCTCGATCTCCTGACCTCATGATCCGCCCGCCTCGGCCTCCCAAAGTGCTGGGATTACAGGCGTGAGCCACCGCACCTGACCTTTACTGTACCTTTTCTGTGTTGAGGTATGTTTAGATACATCAGCTGAACCATTATGTTAGAATTGCCTACAGCTGGCTGAGCATGGTGGCTCACGTCTATAATCCCAGGACTTTTGGAGGCTGAGGCAGAAGGATCACATGAGCCCTGGAGTTTGAGACTGGCCTGGGCATCATAGTGAGACCCCCATCTCTACAAAAAGTTAAAAAAAAATTAGTAGCCAGATGTGGTGGCATGCACCTGTGGTCCTAGCTACTTGGGAGGCTGAGGTGGGAGGATCATTTAAGCCCAGGTTGATGCTGCAGTGAGCTGTGATGGCACCACTGCACTCCAGCCTAGGCAACAGAGCGAGACTCTGCCTCTCAAAAAAAAAAAAAAATTGCCTACAGCATTCAGTACAGTAACATGCTGTACAGGTTTGTAGCCTAGGAGCAATAGGCTGTATGATATAGTCTGGGTGTGTTGTAGGCTATAGTGTCTAGGTTTGTGTAAGTACACTCTGTGATGTTCACACAATGAAATCACCCAATGACGTATTTCTCAGAATGTATCCCCATCGTTAAGTGATGCATGATTGTATTTTGTTTGTTTCATCTTCCAGGTGAACAACTTTGTGATCTTTGAAGGCTTCTTTGCCCATCAACATCGTAAGTTTTTGCATTTTGTTGGTCACGTAGTCGGGGTGAGGGAAAGGAAAGAGCTGGACTCTTGGTCCTGCCGACCCCTCACTGAGGGGCCCCGCCGCTTCCTTCCTCACAGGGCCCCCTGCTCCCTCTCTGAGGGCAACTCGACACTCTCGTGCTGCTGCAGTCGATCCCACGCCCGCTGGTAAAGCCTGTATTGAAGGGGTGGAACTGTAGTGCAGTGATGGCTACTTACTCTAGATGCCACGGGGTACAGTGCCATCTGTGGGCAATTTTGGAAAATTCTAAAGCAACCCAAGTCTCCAGCAGTCATGACTGTTTGCCTTTGCCCTCATGGGAGCTCAGTGCATTTTATATTTGGCAAGACTTTTAACTAAGCAAGCTCATTGGGAGCCTGTTTGACAGCTGATATCAATGGACCCTCTTGCCAGTTCAGGTCCGTCAACATAGGCCAGAGTCAGGCTCCTTTGTAAACCCCAGGCTTCTGTTAGCCAGTGAGGGACAGGCTGGTGCAAACAGCCCTTCCATTTGCAGTCACAGAATAGTGACACAAATGGCCCAAAATTTAAATGTTACTTTTAGAAGATAACACTCAGAGTTTATAACATTTCCAACCAGATAATGAAATTGATATGGAGAAACCAAACCTCAGAGGCACTAAAATGCTGTCCAGATTCCCCATCCCATATACACACACACACACACACACACACACACAAACACACTTACTGACAGTCTGAGCCCCACTCCTTCCTCTTCCTCACCACCTCCACCTTACCAACTTCTGACAGCTGTACAGTGCTTGCTTGCACAGAAGAGCCCCCTTCCTGAGCTGGCTCTGTGGCCAGGAAAGGATGTAACCACCATCCAAACAGCAGTCTGTAACCAGCTATGAGCATCACAGTGTCAGGCACTGAGAGGCACCTCAACTCGCTTTGGTTTCCAAGGCTTCTCCCATTTAGCTTGTTCAGAACCACAGGCTGTGAGAGGGACTGAGGGCCAACAAGGATGGTGAGGTCTCAGGCCTGCAGGGGAGGGTGCTGTGGATAAAGCTTAAGTGAATTTGCTGAGAAGTCTTTCATTTGCCACACATACATGATGGAGAATCTCTTGAGAGGGAAAGCCGGGAGCAAGTAGAGAAGTGAGGAGGGGGAGGCTGAACTTTGGACATTACATCAGCCTCCTGCTTACTCTGATAGCTCCCTTTCAGATGCCCATATTTATTTTCTTTTTTTTTTTTAACCTAATAAAACTTCAGTCTCTTCCCATTTTCGTATAGGAAGGAGAGATTGTGCCCTCCTTCCAAACCTCCCCTGACCTCTCCAGAGCAATTCCTGATTAACCAAGGGCTTTGTCCATCTCATCCAGAGGAACCCAGGGTCCTCGTTGGCCCGGCTGGGACCATTCCACTGCCCCAGAATACCAGGGGGCCATGACAGCACCCACTGACAGTAAGAGCTCACTTCCCTTGGCTGCCCTTCTCCTGCATCTCCCAGGCCCCCAGAGTCTCCCCTTCGATCTTTCTCCCTAGCTCTGTGTTTGGCCTACTCCTTCTGGCTTTCCTCAACAGTGTTCCACATTCCCCTCAAATTCCCTTTTGGTGTGCTGGCATTGCCATGGTGCTGCTCCTGCAAGTTCTCAGGAGGAACTGTGGTGTCAGGGAGCAGAGGTTTGGGGTTGGGGTATAGTGGCTGGGAGGAGGGGTGCAAAGTATGTCTCCTAACGCTTACCCTGCCTATGTCCCCTCCACTGCCAGCTCCAGCAAGGAAGCTGCCACCCAAGAGAGCAGAGGGAGACATCAAGCCATACTCCTCTAGTGACCGAGAATGTAAGAGGGGCAAGGGTCGGGTGTCTGGGCCTGGGGTACCTTAACACAAGGGAAGAGAATGCTCAGGGGACCCAGGGAAAGGATTCGTTCTCTCTAAAGACTCAGATTTCTTGGGCTGGGCATGGTGGCTCATGCCTGTAATCCCAGCACTTTGAGAGGCTAAGGCAGGCAGATCGCCTGAGTCCAGGGGTTCAAGACCAGCCTGGCCAACATGGTGAAACCCCGTCTCTACTAAAAATACAAAAATTAGCTGGGCACGGTGGCACGTGCCTGTAATCCCAGCTACTTGGGAGGCTGAGGCAGGAGAATGGCTTGAACCCAGGAGGCGGAAGTTGCAGTGAGCCAAGATCGTGCCACTGCACTCCAGCTTGGGTGACAGAGTGAGACTCCGTCTCAAAAAAGAAAAAAAAAAAAAAGAAAGACTCAGATTTCTCTTTTTTTCTACCAAAACCTTTGCTGTCATGACTCTCTTCCTTTTTTCTTCTTTTTCTGTCTTGCTCTTCATTCTCCCTGTCCCCAGTTCTGAAGGTAGCTGTGGAGCCTCCTTGGCCCCTAAACAGGGCCCCTCGCCGCGCCACACCTCCAGCCCACCCACCCCCCCGCTCCAGCAGCCTGGGAAACTCACCAGAACGAGGTCCCCTCCGCCCCTTTGTGCCAGAGCAGGAGCTGCTGCGTTCCTTGCGCCTCTGCCCCCCACACCCTACCGCCCGCCTTCTGTTGGCTGCTGACCCTGGGGGCAGCCCAGCTCAACGTCGTCGCACCAGGTAATAGGAGTTGAAGGGCTAAGGAGCCTCACAGCTATAAAAGAGGATGTTAGAAATGGCAAAGGGCAATTTGAATCCATCAGAGAGATGGATCAATAAGATGGGTGGCTTGGGGGGGGTCCTGAAACCTTTCAAGAAAAATATTTGTGCAAGTGATCTGGGAAAAAAATGCAGTGAAGGAGCAGAATAGGACCTTATATGGAGCCTAGGGACCCTGGCTTTAATGTGAGAGTTATGTGGAATGGTAGGAAGAACACCGAGATCCATCGAGTTGGGGGAACAGAGCCTTCTAAGATTGGGAAAATCTTCGCTTAATACTTGCTGGGGAAGGGGCAGTGTCTGACAGAGAGTGGGAAGCCACTGGCTTGTGTGCCAAGAGTCCATCGCAGCAGGCAGGGAGTGGGCATTTCCTTTATTTCTCTCCCTTTCTCTTCACCTCTGACTTCTCTGTTTTTCTCTCCCCCGCCCCCCGCCATTTCCCATCTCCCTTCCTCCCATCCATAACATCCTTCCACAGCTCCCTTCCCCGCTCTGAGGAGAGTCGATACTAACAGCTACCCTCTCCCTGCCCTGGGAGACCTGGGGTGGGCAGGGAACCCCTCCCTGAGAACCTCAGACCCACTCTTCCATTGCATCCTGTAGGACCCAGTGGAACCTGACAGAGCCCATAGGATTCCCTCTTCTACTTTCTTAGACAGCAGGGATGTCAGGGTCTCAAACTGCCTAACACTTTGTAGCTTTTCTTAACACAAAAGCACCCCTTCTCTCCTAACTTGGGCTCTGAATACTTTCCCAACAGGAAGTCTGATCTGTTGCCAGACTTCTTGGTTAGATGGCTCATACATTTATCTAGAGAAGCACACTCTTGCTTGCTGTCAAACTTTAGAACACCATGGAAGGTCTAAGGGCATCCTGTGCCAGGGAAACTTTTTAAGGAATTTTATCTATGGGATAAACCCCATATTCCCTCTAGTGTCTACTGGTGGCTCTAATACTGCTTTGTGCTGCCTGCCACACTTGCCCTTTGAGCCTGCGAATGGCCGCTAGTGAGCAAGCTCTGCTTCAGAGCAGTCTAGTTAGGTAGAACAGGGACTTACCAGCTTCCCAAAGGGATCTACTCACCATTGCCAAACTCTTCATTTCCACATTTTGTGTAGGTGTCAGGGAACCCCAAACTGGTGTTGCTTTGGGGTCTCTAAAGGAGATTGGCTGACACCACCATTTCCCCCAGATCCAGATTCTCTGAGGGAGGTTGTTTCTTGAGAGTAGATCCAGAGTGTCAAGGATCTGTTAGATCCTGGAATCCCTTCTTGCATCCATCCCTCCCTGGTAGCTAGGTCCCGATATACTCCTGTCTTGTGAGATTGTCGAGATGAGATGGGGGACCACTCTTCCTCTGTCCTTCCTCTCTCCTTTCCTCCATAGCAAGGACGACCTTCCCTGCTCCATGCCCAGAGTATAGCTAGATCCCTTCCCCTCCCTACCCTCTGAATGTGTGCTAGATCAGGTGCCCCACTGTGTTTCCTGAAATCCTTGGGAGCCGGATCTCCCCATCTCCCCTACTCACTCTTCCCTTTTCTTCTCTCAGTGTTGTCTGAATAAAGTGTGAAATCTTTTGTGTTTTCTAAATTGACATTTTCAATGAAAAAAAGAATCACAAAAAAAAAAGTTGTCAGCCTCATTTGTGCGTCATCCCTTATTTTCCTGGGATCTCAGGACCTCTGTCCCTCTCATTTCTCACTTCTGAGATCTGCACATCTTTTACCCAGGAGCCTCAGAGCTCCTGAGTCTGGTGTCTGCCTATCCCCATCTTCACTGTTAGTCCTCCTGCAGATTCTGTGTCTCCTTTCATGTAGGTGCTGGATCCCTGTGTGTGGGCTTCCGTATCTACTCCCTCATTCCCTCCAGGAACCTCCAGCTCTCCCCAGTGACTTCTACCCTTTACTCTGGGCGTGCCTTTGCCAAGATGTCAAAGCTTACCAACATCTCTGGATCCACTAATTACCTCCTGCCTCCTGTATTCGTCTTCCCACTCTGATTACCTGACGTCTGCTCCACTAAACCGCTGGATCTCTCTCAAGACAAACCCTTACCTCCATTGAGAGTGCAACACAGTCTGTCACCCTATTTACAGAGGCCCCCTTCCTTTTCCTCCTAAATTCAAAATTCAGCCTTGTCACTTCCTATTTCCCTCTGGTCTAAGGAATCTTTTTTTTTTTTTTTGAGATGGAGTCTTGCTCTGTCGCCAGGCTGGAGTGCAGTGGCACAATCTCAGCTCACTGCAACCTCCGCCTCCTGGGTTCAAGCGATTCTCCTGCCTTAGCCTCCCAAGTAGCTGGGATTACAGAAGTGCACCACCGTGCCCAGCTAGTTTGTGTATTTTTAGTAGAGACAGGGTTTCACCATGTTGGCCAGGTTGGTCTCGATCTCCTGATCACGTGATCTGCCCGTCTTGGCCTCCCAAAGTGCTGGGATTACAAGCCTGAGCCACCGCGCCCAGCCTGGTCTAAGGAATCTTATAGTTAAGGTAACCCTGTTTTCCAAACCAAACACCAGAGTACCCGATCCAACACATTTTTGACCACATGTGAGTCTGTTCTTCTGACATGATTTGGATCACACCTAGCCATAGATTTAACACATTACCTCAACTAGAAAGAATAGAGCAATAAATCAGAAGCACTCCAGAAAATCTTGGGTATAAAATGAACTTCCCCCGCCCTTTTCTGGGGCACAGCTTTGATTAAAACCTGTTAGGAATGATAATTACCCCCTTCTCTTTGTTCCTGTGCTATTCCTTTTACTCCTCTCCTCTGATTCCTCCATACCCACCCATCTTTCATCCAGTAGCCTCCTCCCCATCATCTCCCATTTCTTCTACAGGGGGACTCCCCCAGGTCTGGTAGCCCAAAGCTGCTGCTACAGCCGCCATGGGGGGGTGAATTCCTCATCCCCCAATACAGGTAAGTATTCACTCCTCCCTACCCTCAAATCAAGTAGGCCACATTCACTGTCTACTCCTGCCTTCCCATTCACATGCCTGATATTTCCACAGGCAACCAAGACTCCAAGCAGGGAGAACAGGAAACAAAGAATAGGTGAGGTCTAAACCCCTCCCCTAACAGCCTCCCACCACCATCTGACTCCCTTCCTAACATCATTCTCAGTCACTTCCTACTCTTAAATCTTATTGTATGAACTGGACACCAGCTCCTCCCACAATTCCTTCTACCTTACATCCTGCAAGCCCCTTTCCCCCACAGGTTCAACTCTGGTACTTCCCTTTGGAATACGGATTCTCTGAGAGGTTTTAAATTTGGACATAGCACTAATGGTTCCAGCTTCATACCCATCATGTGTCCTACATTAAAACCTGGCCCGAGACCTTGAAGAGTCTGTAATCTTAATTTCCTCTTTAGTATTCCTATAACCCACTCTCCATCTCCCCACCTACCAGGTCTGCCAGTGAGGAGCAGGCCTTGTCACAGGATGGGTCTGGGGAGAAGCCCATGCACACAGCTCCTCCACAGGCCCCGGCCCCGCCAGCCCAGTCCTGGACAGTGGGTGGGGACATACTCAACGCCAGGTTCATTCGAAACCTGCAGGAACGTCGCAGCACCAGGCCTTGGTGACCGCAGCCCCGTCAAACATCTTCAAAGTATTATTTCTCCCTCACTACAGGAAAGAGCCAAAGCCCAACCCTCATAATAGATGGATACATTCATTCATTCATTCATTCAGCAGGCTTATCAGATTCAAGTCATTTGTATCTTTTAACCAGACCAATAAAAGTATTTATTTTTATCACAAGAGCTGTTGAAAAATTTGACTCATTATTTCAGCCGCCTCACCCCTCACTGTCGTTGCACCCATTCAGCCTTCAGCCCTGTTTTTGCTCAGCTTTTTGCTCAAAGGCCTCAGCTGTGAATACAGCGCTTGGGGGGGCGGGGGAGGCTGTAACTTGCGCAAGCGCACTCAGGCAGTCTCCGAGCCCGCGGGCGCAGGCGCGCTTACAGCCGACAGAGCGCTTCAGCCGCTTCCCTCGAGCCTGCAGTGCGCAAGCGCGGGACATCTCCGTTTCCCTCCCTCAGCCCCTTCCCCCCCTACCCCCCCGCCCCGGCCTCCTTTCCCCTTCACGAAGCCGGCTCTGGGGCGCGCTCACCCCTGTGAGGAGGCCGGAGGTCGGACTCAGGAGGCTCCTTCTCCACTCCCGGAAGATCATGTACCAGCCCAGCCGGGGTGCGGCCCGGCGTCTCGGCCCTTGCCTGCGCGCCTACCAGGCTCGACCCCAGGTGAGCGGAGGAGAAGAGGGAGGGAGGAGAGGGGGCGGGGAGAGACCCTCCTCAAAGCCGGTGCGTGGGGCGGAGCGCGCGCTGGGTTCCGCGCAGGCGCAGAGACACCCGCCGCCCCTTCCCACCTGTGCCCTGCAGCGCGTGGACAGGCTAGGGGTCGCGGGAGCGGGAGGGAGGCGCTGCCGGGCCTGTCGCGCAAGGACGTCGGTCCTCCCAGGTTTGAGGGCGGTCAGGCGGGGTCAAGGCCAGGCAGCGGGGCGCGTCTGCGTTGCGCCCGACTCTCCGCGGTTACCTGTGCCTAGAGGTGATTTGAAGGGCAGGGGCCGAGAGATTCGTAGCCCTGCTGCGGCGCCGTCCCGGAGTTCCCCGGCCCAGACCAGACCCGCGGGGCGCCCTCAGCAGCCCGCCCGTCTTGCACTCGGAGAGCGGTCCTGGCAGGAAGGCCGGCCAGTGTGCACCCGGTTCGGGCCCCTGCGCCCGGGCTGGCAAGATGGCCACGCCCCCAGCAGAGACGGCGCCTCTAGGACACCATCGGGGACCGAGGTACCCGAGCGGTCCGCCCGCCTTCCCTGCAGTGAGACGATCCCCTGGGGGGTTCCTTGGGAGCGGAGGGACTCGGGTGAGGCCTAACTTTGGGTGACCTCCCCTTGCAGTTTCAACGTCGGTAAACCCAGGAGAGTGAAGGCCAGCCTTTAACTGTCTCCTGAGGTTGTGTCTGTCATTAGAGGGGCCCGAAATGATAATAGCTTCCATTTATGTACTGCTTTCTAGGTCGCTACGTTTTGTTTACATTCATTATTTCATATAGGCCTCATAACCCAGTGAGGCTTTATTGTTCTCATTTATAGGACATTTGTAGGAAGCGGAGGCATAGGGAATGAGAATGCCTAAAGTTACATGATAGAATTCAGATTCCTAGCTTCAGCTGGATATTCTTTTTTCTCTGTACATTTGCCTCGCACACTTAATCATGGAGATGTACAGGCCACAGCATTTAATCCACAGTACAATAAAACCTGTTATTCGTTAACTCATCAAGTATGTATTACATGATTCTTGCGATAAGAGAGGTGAAACTGCCCCCAGTGTTGGAATCTTTTTTTTTTTTTTTTTGAAATGGAGTCTTGCTCCGTCACCCAGGCTGAAGTGCATTGGCACCATCTCGGCTCACTGCAATCTCCGTCTCCTGGGTTCAAGCAATTCTCCTTCCTCAGCCTCCCGAGTAGCTGGGACTACAGGCTCCCGCCACCACACCCGGCTAATTGTTTTGTATCTTTAGTAGAGATGGGGTGTCACCATATTGGCCAGGCTGGTCTCGAACTCCTAGACCTCGTGATCCGCCCGCCTCGGCTTCCCAAAGTGCTGGGATTACAGGCGTGAGCCACCGCGCCCGGCCACATTTCTTTAAGATTCCAACACTGGGCCGGGCACGGTGGCTCACGCCTGTAATCCCAGCACTTTGGGAGGCCGAGGTGGGCGGATTACCTGAGGTCAGGAGTTCGAGAACAGCCTGGCCAACATGGTGAAACCCCATCTGTAACTAAAAATACAAAAATTAGCCGGGCGTGGTGAAGGGTGCCTGTAATCCCAGCTACTCGGGAGGCTGAGGCAGGAGAATGGCTTGAACCCAGGAGGCGGCGGTTGCAGTGACCCGAGTTCGCGCCAATGCACTCCAGCCTGGGCGACGGTGAGACTTCGTCTCAAAAAAAGAAAAAAAAGTAAAATGTCTGCTAGGTTTTGGGAGGTGCCGGTATTTATGTCACATAAAACAGTTTGCTCGGCTGGGCGCGGTGGCCCACGCCTGTAATCCCAGCACTTTAGGAGGCAGAGGCGGGTGGATCACGAGGTCAAGAGATGAAAACCATCCTGGCTAACATGGTGAAATCCTGTCTCTACTAAAAATACAAAAACTAGCTGGGCATGGTGGCGCGCGCCTGTAGTCCCAGCTACTCAGGAGGCTGAGGCAGGAAAATCACTTGAACCTGGGAGGCGGAGGTTGCAGTGAGCTGAGATCGTGCTACTGCACTCCAGCCTGGCAACAGAGCGAGACTCCATCTCAAAATAAATAATAAAATAAAATGGTTTCCTCCTGTTTTCAGTAGAGATGGAGATGAATCCATCCCTTTTTTCCTATAGTAATTCCATCCATTCTGTCAGGAGGAATAGGTATTGGAAGCCTGTTGAGCATCCAGGGGATCAAGGGGTGTTAGACAAGTGGATTCTTATCTTTCTCCCTTCTGTTCTTTCTCCTTAGGACCAGCTTTATCCAGGGACTCTACCATTCCCACCCCTTTGGCCCCACTCCACGACAACCACTTCCCCATCTTCTCCTCTATTCTGGTCTCCCCTGCCCCCACGCCTTCCCACCCAGCGTCTTCCCCAGGTTCCCCCACTACCTCTCCCTCAGATCCAGGCCCTCAGCTCAGCATGGGTGGTTCTCCCTCCAGGAAAGGGGGAGGAGGGACCAGGACCTGAGTTGCATAGCGGCTGCCTGGATGGGCTTAGAAGCCTTTTTGAGGGACCTCCCTGCCCCTATCCTGGGGCTTGGATACCTTTCCAAGTCCCTGGAACTGCCCACCCTTCCCCTGCCACCCCGTCAGGAGATCCTAGTATGGAGGAACATCTGTCTGTCATGTATGAGAGACTGAGACAAGAGGTAAGTCAGTGCAAAAGTGGCCTTCGTCTACAGTGGGAAGGATGTGGGTAATCCTTGGACGTACAGGGATAGTCAACTGGATTCTTTTTTGGAACCATGAGGCAGGCATAGAAATATATTATAAACATTTTCCTGAGAAAATGATGTTCCAGCCAGGCACGGTGGCTCAAAGTGCTGTAATCCCAGCACTTTGGGAGGCTTAGGCAGGTGGATCACCTGAGGTCAGGAGTTCAAGACCAGCCTGGCCAACATGGTGAAACCCCATCTCTACTAAAAACACAAAAATCAGCCAGGCATGGTGGCAGACGCCTATAATCCCAGCTACTCAGGAGGCTGAGGCAGGAGAATCGCTTGAACCCAGGAGGCGCAGTGAAAGGAGATATCTCCATTGTACTCCAGCCTAGGCAACAGAGCGAGACTCCGTCTCAAAAAAAAAAAAAAGAAAGAAAATGATGTTCCTCATTTTGGGTTAAGGGAGGTTAATCATGGGATGAGATCTTTCACTCCAAGATGGGAGTAAGGAGGCCTTAAAAATAGAAAACTGGGCCTGGCACATGGCTCACACTTATAATCCTAGCACTTTGGGAGGCCGAGGCAGGCGGATCACAAGGTCAGGAGTTCAAGACCAGCCTGGCCAACACAGTGAAACCCCGTCTCTACTAAAAATACAAAAATTAGCTGGGCATGGTGGTGGGTGCCTGTAATCCCAGCTACTCGGGAGGCTGAGGCAGGAGAATCGCTTGAACCTGGGAGGCGGAGGTTGCAGTGAGCCGAGATTGTACCTCTGCACTCCAGCCTGGGCGACAGAGCTAGACTCCATCTCAAGCCTGTAATCCCAGCTACTCGGGAGGCTGAGGCAGGAGAATCGCTTGAACCTAGGAGGCGGAGGTTGCAGTGAGCTGAGATTGTACCTCTGTACTCCAGCCTGGGCGACAGAGCTAGACTCCGTCTCAAAAAAAAAAAAAAATTAGAAAACTGAAAAATAGGATTATCTTTTCTTTCCCACTGGGTTGATGCCATCTTCTTCCACCTAGCTTCCCAAGCTCTTCCTTCAGTCCCACGACTACAGTCTGTATTCCTTGGATGTGGAATTCATCAATGAGATCCTCAACATACGTACCAAGTGAGAATTGGGGCACAGGTAGGGCACTGGGGAGGAAAAGCACCCAAAGGTATATACATGACCCTTTTCACTTCCCAGAGAAGTTCCTAGACTGCTTCTCACAGCTGTTCCCCATTCCTTAGAAGCCAGTTTGGTTTTCTAATTCTGCCATCATGAGATTTCTTTCCCATCCCTTCTTCACAGGGGCCGGACATGGTACATTCTTTCACTGACCCTCTGCCGTTTCCTGGCCTGGAATTATTTTGCACACCTTCGTTTGGAGGTTTTACAGCTGACCCGCCACCCTGAGAACTGGACCCTGCAAGCCCGGTGGCGGCTTGTGGGGCTGCCCGTCCACTTGCTCTTTTTGCGGTTCTACAAGCGTGACAAAGACGAGCATTACCGGTAAGAGAGAAATGAGAAAGGACCCAAACTATAATCAGTTCCTTTTTTTTTTTTTTTTGAGACGGAGTCTCACTCTGTCACCCAGGATGGAGTGCAGTGGCGTGATCTCAGCTCACTGCAGCCTCTGCCTCCCGGCTTC
Organism: Homo sapiens; assembly: GCF_000001405.40. NCBI lineage: Eukaryota > Metazoa > Chordata > Mammalia > Primates > Hominidae > Homo > Homo sapiens. The sequence goes on from NT_167249.2 coordinate 1,952,365, forward strand.
CAGCAATTCTCCAGCCTCAGCCTCCTGGGTAGCTGGAATTACAGGCACACCATCACACCCGGCTAATTTTTGTATTTTTAGTAGACAGAGGGTTTCACCATGTTGGCCAGGCTGGTCTCGAACTCCTCACCTTAGGTGATCCACCTGCCTTAGCTTCCCAAAGTGCTGAGATTACAGATGATCTAGTCTCCCAGACAACCCTTGACCTATCCTCACTTGACTGTTTAAGGACAGGGATCCTGTTTAGTTTATGTTAATGTTAAAAAAAAAATAGAGACTGGGTATATTAGAAAAACCTCTGAGCTTCAGTTTCTTCCTATACAGTGCCTAGCACATGGTAGGTACTCAAATACTTACTGAACAGACTGGGTGTGGTGGCTCATGCCTGTAATGCCAGCACTTTGGGAGGCCGAGGTGGGCGGATCACTTGAGGTAAGGAGTTGGAGACCTGCCTGGCCAACATGGTAAAACCCAAAAAAATACAAAAATTAGCCCAGTGTGGTGGTACACACCTGTAGTTCCAGCTACTTGGGAGGCTGAGATGAGAGAATCACTTCAACCTGGGAGGTTGAGGTTGCAGTGAGCCGTGATCACATTACTGGACTCCAGCCTGGGTGACAGAGTGAAACCCTGTCACACACACACACACACACACACACACACACACACAAAAGTACTGAACAAATGAAAAGTCCTGTCTCATATGTTGAGCCTTACAACCTGGTAAATTTCCGCCTGGGAGTAGAATCCCAATAAATTGTTAGACTCAGCCACAAACATTGGATATAAGTTTTTAAACCAGCAGTTCCCAAACTGCTGCACAGTAGAAATGCCCAAGGATCGTTAAAAAATATTGACGCCAAACACTCTGATTTAATTGAGACAGGGCACAACCTAAGCACTGAGATGTTTGTAAGTTGCCCAGGTGATCTAATATGTAGCAGAATTTAGGGACTACTCGTTTAAACAAATGCTTGAATTCAGCTTTGGGACCAGTCACCTTCTCCCTCAGTAAGCCTCCCTCTATTCCCCAGGACCTATGATGCCTACTCCACTTTCTACCTGAATTCCAGTGGCCTCATTTGTCGCCATCGTCTAGATAAAGTGAGTCCTAGGTAGGGCTGGGTGGGGTAAAGGGTAGAACATTTGTGTGCCTCCCCCAACTGGCATTAACCTTTCTCCCTGCAGCTGATGCCTTCACACTCACCTCCAACGCCTGTGAAGAAGCTGCTAGTGGGAGCCCTGGTGGCCCTGGGGCTGTCAGAGCCAGAACCTGACTTAAACCTGTGTTCCAAGCCCTGATCCTTGACCTTGGAGTGGAGGCAGCACTGAAGACTGCTACGCCCAAGAGAAGGAGGTGGAGGCAGCCAAGAATCTCAGGAGCCAGCTTCCTCTCCTCGTTTCTCTCCTTCCTTCCTTTCCATCTCATGCTGTGTAAAGCTGCTGTGTAATTTAACTTGTAAATAATAAAGTTTAACTGACTATATGAGATAGAATTTCACATATCACTTTCTCTAGATCCCAAATGTTCCCACAAGCTTTATTCCAAAAATAATTTTATTTAATAGGTATTAAATAATGTATAGAAGGAAAAGGAGCTGGTGTCAGGTTCTGTTTACGTCCTTCTCTTACCCTAGCTCTTCTCGTGTTTTGCCTATTTTTTTGGGCATTTTCTTAGCATGGGGATCTTCTAGCTCCTTGGCCTTATAATAATGGGGAGCCACCTCCAGAAGCCAACTGCTCTCAATCTCCAGTACCTAGGAGAGAGAAAAGATCAATGGAGTTCCCTTCTTTCCAACATAGATCTTTTGTTGTTGTTATTTTTTTTTCTTAAATTGAAACAGAGTCTTGCTCTATTGCCCAGGCTGGACTGCAGTGGCGTATCATGGCTCAAAGCAGTCCTACTGCCTCAGCCTCCCAAGTAGCTGAGACTACAGGCACACATCACAGTGCACCATTAATTTTTTGTATAGTTGGGGTCTCACTATGTTGCCTGGGCTGATCTTGGCCTCCCAAAGTGCTAGGATCCTGCCTTGGCCTCCCAAAGTGCTGGGATGGTTTACAAAAATGAGCCACTATGCCCAGCCCCAACCTAGATCCTTATGTGTATGGTCAAAAGTTATCTTTCCTCTTTGACTGCAGGGCTAGGTGTAAAGGTGCCTGGCTCTATTATTATATACCCAAAGGGCAGATACACCTCTGTATGTTATTCAAGATACCAAATAAGCTATTCCCAAGAAAAGTCTAGAACAACATGCCAGGCACAGTGGCTCACACCTGTAATCCCAACACTTTGGGAGGCCGTGGCAGGCGGATCATGAGGTCAGGAGTTCGAGATCAGCCTGGCCAACATGGTGAAACCCAGTCTCTACTAAAAATATAAAATTAGCTGGGCGTGGTGGTGGGCACCTGTAATCCCAGCTACACTGGAGGCTGAGGCAGGGGAATCACTTGAAACCGAAGGCGGAGGTTGCATGAGCTGAGATGGTGCCACTGCACTCCAGCCTGGGCTACAACAGCACGGAACTCTCTCAAAAAAAAGAAAAGCCTAGAACATAAAGACTATACTCTGTGAGACCAGAGACTGCTTTGTTCATTATAGCCCCAGCACCTATACAGTAGCCATTCAAATATTTATTGAATAAGTGTCTAGTTCTCAGATCTTGGAAGATGCTGACACACCTGTTAGAAAGGATGTCTTTGGGCTGGGCATGGTGGCTCACACCTGTAATCCCTGCACTTTGGGAGGCCGAGGCAGGCATTTGAGACCAGCCTGGCCAACATGGTGAAACCTCATCTCTACTAAAAATAACAAAAATTAGCCAGGCCTGGAGGCTTGCGCCTGTAATCTCAGCTACTTGGGAGGCTGAGGCATGAGAATCTCTTGAACCCCAGAGGCAGAGGTTGCAGTGAGGCTAGATTGCGCCACTGCACTCCAGCCTGGACAACAGAGTGAGACTCCGTCTCAAAAAAAACAAAAAAAAACAAAGGATGTCTTTCTATTTTACCCTACCTTCCTCTTTCTGTACCAGTCCCAGCAACTTGAACCTGGGTTCTTAGCTTGCCAGGACACCATCTCTCTACATAGTCTCCACCTGCGTGGGCACAGGATGTTCTCCTCACCTGTCTCATGAACTCTTTGGTGGTCAAGACAAGTTCGTGGTAGAGCAGCCAGCGTGGCTGTTGCTCAAAGAGGGAGGAGTTGGGATGAATGAAGACTGTCTGCTGCTGTTTCACTGTGCGGTAGCCACTCCGAGTCAACCGTGCCGTGTGGTAAAAGTAACCAGCAGTGATGGCCTAAGGAGCGGGCAGGAAAGAAAATCAATGGAAAAGGCAGACATCTGGGGACCCTAAGAATGCACTACCTTTTTAGTTCAGGCTTCAGGAAAACTAGAGAGGTAAGGAATGCATGAAGAACTTCCCAGGAATGAACCTTCAGTGGTCTGGGGAAGAAAGGGCCCTGGGAGGACACGTCATACACAAGGGGAAGAGGGCATGCTCTCACGCTGGAGGAAATGCTGCATGCCCCCAGAGAAGCTTGCTCCTGGGAAGGTACTGGGGGTGGAAAGCAGGAGGCTGAAGAAATGCTGACCTTGCGTACACGGATATAGTCCCCCTGGCAGGAACTGAGACCAACTTCCACACGTTCCAAGAGCCCTTCCAGCTGTTCCCGCACATCCCGGGCTCGGCGCATCGATCTGAACTGTACAAAGTTCTCATAGCACCACTGGGAAGAGTAACCACTCTCAGCCCACTGGGAAGACAGTTAAAAAGAAAGGAGAGATAATTAAGTATACAGCAGGACTAAAGTCCCCCAGTGTCTCTCATTCCCACTCACCCAAGCCCAGTGACCTGTGTGTAAACATTTAGCAGAACCAGGTGGTCACCGCCAGGGAGAAAGAAGTTGACACGGGCATTGTCAGCATGGACGACCTTGTCCTTTGGTCGGTAGAAGATGGAGTTGTTGACAGAGAGCATGGCAGCCACTGTCAGGATCTCCTCTGAACAGCTGTACCTGGGACAGGAAGGGGAAAGCATGAGTTCAAAGCAAGACACATAGGAACAGATATGGTGGAGTGGGGAGTGATCACTGTGTGATGGATGTTTCCTCATGTGGGGAAGGCTGGTTGGCATAATGGCTACAAAGCAGCCAGCAGATAGATTCTGGCAGCAGCTTGGGGGTCAAGGAAGTAGGGGCCATAGATGAAACACAGTCACAAAGGAGGGACATCCATGGAGGCAGGAGCAGGAAACACCGGGGAATTCTGAGGCTTCTGCAGAAAGTGTGCATTCACTATGTGCATTTGGAAAAGATCTCTGACAGCAGAGGAATGGCATTTAAAGGTCATCCCTCCACAGCTACATCTAAATGTTCTAGTTGGAAACCTTAGGAACAAGTAAGTTCCTCAAGGGGCCGGGCGCAGTGGAATCAAGGATAGGATCAAGTGTCTTACCCTTGTGGGCCTCAAAAGGGGGCAATCAGAGTTATCTAATACTTTATTATGTGTTAAGGGATAGTATGATGAACAGAAAAAGACAGACAAAGGGGACCCTGGAGACAGAGGAGGCCTGGCCTGTTTGTGTGCTGGGGGCCCAGGTGGAGGCGAGGGCTTACTTCTCAGAGGCTAAGATCATTTTGGACAGCATGGGGTCCACCGGCAGCTCTGCCATCTTTCGACCAGACTAAGGAGAAGAGAGAGAGAGTTGAGCCCAGTCCTCCCTCAGGTTTCCCGCTACTACTACAGGGGTCCCTGGAGCCATCCTGACCCCTATCATCCTGCCTCCACCCATGCTGTCCCCCGACTCACCGTGGTGAGCTCCCCAAGGTGGTTGAGGGCTCCCAGAGCATACAGCTGCTCCAAAGCCAGCAGCAGTGTCTCATATGGTGGAGGGTCCAGGAAATCAAAGTGCATTAGGTCATGGATCCCTAGAAAGAGGTGTGATGGATGGAACAGAGTCCCTTCAAAGGACAGTGACTCCAGCCCCTCCCTCCTCTCTCAGGTAGCCCAATCACCTAAGCTCTTGAGCAGCAACACGACATTGCCCAAGCTGGTCCTCTGGATCTCAGGCACTGTGGTTTCCTCAAGCTCGTGCTGATAGGCCCAGGCGGTATACAGGCGGAAGCACTTCCCTGCAGCCACCCGACCTGCCCTGCCAGCTCGCTGATTGGCTGAGGCCTGGAAAGAAAGGGGAACAGGCTGGCTGACAATTTGGTCAGGGAAAAGAAAAAGGCAGTATTTATGCAAGAAATCTGGAAGGATGCAAACTGCTCATCCCGGTTCCCTAGGAAGCCCCCACCCTGCTTCTGAGTTGGACCTTCTCTGTGGGCCAACTCCACCTCCCCCACTCCCATGCATCCCCAGGCTGACCTTGCTGCAGGGTGTGACAGTGAGCGATTCCATGCCTGTGCGGGGGTTGTAGCTCTTCTGCTTACAGAACCCTGGATCCAGCACATAAATGATGCCCTCAATGGTGAGTGATGTCTCAGCAATGTTCGTTGCCACAACCACCTGAGTGATAGGATATGGGGTCACCCAGTGACCCCACCTACCTAGTTACCCAGAAAAAGTAATCTTGGAAAGTTAGGAGTAGTGAAGCAGTTGCAGTAAGGGGCAGGAGCTGAGGGAATTAGTAGTATCCAAGGTCAGGAGCAGGGGACAAGGCCAGAAGACAGGGGACAGGGAAGTGGGGGCTGGGAGTCAGCAGGGCCATAGGAGGAAAGGAAATGGAGAAGAGGATTTAGGGTTTTTTTTTTTTTTCAGAGATGGGAAATGGGGGTGTTCAAGTTCCTGCCCGATCCTCCCCATCACCGCTTTCGTCTTCACACAACACTTCCTGTAAGAGCCTCCTAACGTGTATCCCTGCTTCTGCTCCTAGCCTCTGTCACATGGCATCCAGGATGGTCCTTTTAAAATACAAACCTGTCACATCACTCCCCATCCTTCAGTGGCTTCCTATCCTACTCTAGAATTCAATCCAAGCCCCTTAAAAGCCTGGATCACCTACCCCAGCTGCCTTTCTGACCTCATCTGCTAGCACTCCACCACCTCCCTCACTCCTCCCACACACTGCTTTGCTCTGCCCAAGTAAGTGCACTCCTCACTGGATCATTTGCATCAGCTATTCCCTCTGTCTGGCATACTCTTCTCCCAGATATCAGCCTGGCTCCCTCCCTCACCTGGTTTGGGTCTCTATTCCACTTTCCCCTTACTGAAGAGGCCCTCCCTACACCCCAAGGAAAATACCTTCATGCCAGTCCTCACTCCCACCCCACAGAGTCAAGTTCCATCCTACTATGCTGCCTTGTATCTCTTCATAGCACTGGCCACAAATTGACAATATGTATTTATGCATCCACTGCTTCCCCGATAGACCACAAGTGCAAGTTTGTTAGGCTAAGGACTTTGTTTTGTTCATCACTGTATCATCAACCCCTGTGTACCTGACACACAGAAGGAACTCATTAAATATTTGTTGAATGAAAGTTATATCTCTGCTCAAAATCCTTTGACTGCTACTCAGCTGTCTAAAGTCCAAACTTCGCCAAGCACAGTGGCTCATGCCTGTAACCCAGCACTTTGAGAGGCCAAGGCAGGCGGATCACTTGAGTCCAGGAGTTCAAGACCAGCCTGGCCAACATGGCGAAACCCCATCTCTACTAAAAATTAGCTGGGTGTTGGCCAGGCATGGTGGCTCACGCCTATAATCCCAGCACTTTGGGAGGCCAAGGTGGGCAGATCACCTGAGGTCAGGAGTTTGAGACCAACCTGGCCAAAATAGCGAAACCTCATCTCTACTAAAAATACAAAAAATTGGCCAGGCGTGGTGGAGGGCACCTGTAATCCCAGCTACTGGGGGGCTGAGACAGGAGAATCGCTTGAACCTGTGAGGCAGAGGTTGCAGTGAGCAGAGTTGGTGCCACTGCACTCCAGCCTGGGCGACAGAGTGAGACTCCATCTCAAAAAAAAAAAAAAAAAAATTAGCTTGGGGTGGTGGTACACACCTGTAATCCCAGCTACTTGGGAAGCTGAGGCACAAGAATCACTTGAGCCTGGGAGGTGGAGGCTGCAGTGAGCCGAGATCTTGCCACTGCACTCCAGCCTGGGCAACAGAGCGAGACTCTGTCTCAAAAAAGAAAAATAAATAAAGTCCAAACTTTCCTGTCATCAAAGGCCCTCCCTAATCTTAGCCCCAAATTGTTTTTAGCCTTGTCTCCTACTCCTTCACCACATGAACCTCCCACTAAGCCTACTAGCTCACACTCTGACCTCAAACATACCTTGGGCCTTCCTCTGATGACTTCTCAGCCATTTTTCTTTTTTGAGATGGAGTCTCGCATTGTCACCCAGGCTGGAGTGCAGTGGCACAATCTCAGCTCACTGCAACCTCCTCCTCCTGGGTTCAAGCGATTCTCATGACTCAGCCTCCTAAACAGGTGGGATTATAGGCGCACGCCACCATGCCCTGCTGATTTTTGTATTTTCAGTGGAGGCAGGGTTTCACCACGTTAGGCAGCCTGGTTTCGAACTACTGACCTCAAGTGATCCGCCCACCTCAGCCTCCGAAAGTCCTGGGATTACAGGCGTGAGCCACCGCACCTGACCTCAGACATTTCTCTTAAAGGTCCATATCAAATCCCACCTCTTAGCACATCAAGGACTTCCCTTCTCCACTGAATCTACTGTGCATACTTTCCAGATCACATATTTGGCTCTCTCTTGGTTCACACCATATTTCTCCTCTCTTCAGTCCCAGGAACAAGGGACTGGCTGCTCCTCAGCTGTGTGCAGCAGTGCGCAGGACTCACCTTGCATGGGGCAGGCACACAGCTTTTTCACTACTAGTTGTGGGAAGCATAGGGGTGAAGAGTGTGGGTTTCTCCAACTGACCTTTCGTGCCCCAGGTGGTGTGGGCTGGAAGATACGGGCCTGCATGTCAGAGGGCAGATTGGCATAAATGGGCAGCACCAGGAGCTCCCGGATTTTGGAGCCCAGGCGGCGGCAGCGATCCTGGAGCATCTCACAGGCAGCCTCAATCTCCTCCTGGATAGAGGGTAGGGAGAGCAGCAGGGGTCCCAGAGTCACAGAAGGCCAACATGCCGGCCCTGTCTTCCCCTGGGATACATCATCCCCTCTCCCCACCATGTCAGGCACCTGTCCTGTCAGGAACACCAGGATATCCCCAGGGGGCTGGGTCACATGGATCTGCAACACAGATACTACACAAGCTTCCAAGTAGTCAGCCTCTGGAGCCTGGAGAGCAGAAAGAGATGGGGTCACAGGAGGGCCACCTGCTTAGGCAAACCTTTCCTCTCCTCCCAATTCAACATACACTTTATCCTAGTTCCCCTTTGAACCTTCCATTCCATCTTTCCCTCCACAGGATAACCTTCTCCAAAGGCCTCAGCTTTTCTGCCACAGACTTAAGCCCATCCTCCCTGAGGGGGCACCTTGGTGTAGAAGATGTCCACAGGAAACCTGCGTCCGGGGATTCGAAACACAGGGGCGTCATCAAAGAAGGTGGAAAAACGGGCAGTGTCCATTGTGGCTGAAGCCACCAGGACCTTGAGCTCAGGTCGGAAGCGAGCAACATCCTTGATCAATCCAAAGAGAATGTCTGTGTGTAGGGTCCTTTCGTGTGCCTCATCCACCATCACCACGCTGGGGAGGGAATAGGAGAGCAATGAGGGAAGAGCGCTAGGCAATGCAGTTATCAGACACCAGGGTTAACTGGATGAGAGGGGAGTAATGGACACAAAGAGTTCAAGAATGACTGTTGACGGAGGGGGCTCTAAGGAGAAGTCAGCCATCCCACTTATGTAGAGCAACAGAAAGTCAGAGAAGGCCAGGGCCCCATGATCTGCAACCTATCCCAGCCTCAGCAGATAATAGGAGACAAGATGTAGAGGCTGCACACTGAGGCCAGGACAAGTTAGCCATACCCTCTAGTTCAGTCAAGAGTCTGCTTAGACTCAGCAGCTGCTCTTACTAGAAAAAGTTGAAGGATATGTTTTAGGCTGGGCATGGTGGTAGCTCACGCCTGTAATCCCAGCACCTTGGGAGGCCGAGGCAGGTGGATCACAAGGTCAGGAGTTCGAGACCAGTCTGGCCAATACAGTGAAACCCCGTCTCTTCTAAAAATACAAAAAAAATTAGCCAGATGTGGTGGTAGACGCCTGTAGTCCCAGCTACTTGGGAGGCTGAGGCAGGAGAATCGCTTGAACCTGGGAGGCAGAGGTTGCAGTGAGCCAAGATCGTGCCACTGCACTCCAGCCTGGGTGACAGAGCGAGACTCCATCTAAAAAAAGAAAAAAGAAAAAGTGGAAGGATTTTTTTTTTGAGACAGTCTTGCTCTGTTGCAGGCTGGAGTGTAGTGGCATGATCTCAGCTCACTGCAAGCTCCGCCTCCTGGGTTCACACCATTCTCCTGCCTCAGCCTCCCAAGTAGCTGGGACTACAGGTGCCTGCCACTGTGCCTGGCTAATTTTTTGTATTTTTAGTAGAGACGGAGTTTTGAAACAGAGTCTCACTCTGTCGCCCAGGCTGGAGTACAGTGGCACGATCTCGGCTCACCGCAAGCTCCGCCTCCTGGGTTGCGTTCACGCCATTCTCCTGCCTCAGCCTCCTGAGTAGCTGGGACTACAGGTGCCCGCCACCACGCCCAGCTAATTTTTTATATTTTTTAGTAGAGACGGGGTTTCACCGTGTTAGCCAGGATGGTCTTGATCTCCTTACCTCGTGATCCGCCTGCCTCTGCCTCCCAAAGTGCTGGGATTACAGGCGTGAGCCACCGCTCCCGGCTGATACGTTTTAAAGGAAAAAAAAAGTGGAAGGCAGGGTCCCTTTCAATAAGGGTGGGCCAGCAAGGCTGACTGGGGGTAATAGACCTGAGCTGCTGTGATTCAAATAGCCTAGAAGCTCCTGGTGTCCTGTGGGACAACTGCTGCTGGCATCATTCTTGACTGTTTCTTCTTTTGGAGACAGGAGCAAGTTAAGCCTTTCTACCTCAACTCTCACAGGACTCTGCATGCTCCTTGGTTTCCTCCTAACTCAGTTATGTGCATGACACCTTCTTTCTCTTTGTTCTTTGGCTTTTCTGGGTGGCAGCCAAGTCCCAGGAACTCATCCCCATCTTCCCCTACCCACCTCCCTGACCTCAACTCTTTGTGCCTAACCCTAACTGTGATGGTGAAGTCCCCAGCCATTCCACAAAGCAGGCTGGCTCGATGGGCAAAAACATCTGCATCAGACACTCTTGCGCTGGCTGGCTCTCCATGGGTTCTTAGAGATCTTTTGCAAGGGATATGAAGGATAAAATCCTATCTGTCCAATTGCTCCACTGTGATCTTCCAAGACCAGAAATTCACAGCCTCTGAAGAGTCAAAAAGGCACATATTGTTCAGCTGGCCTGACCCCACCCCCATTACATTCATGAATCCCTTTTCCCCCTCAACACATGTTCAACCAACCCCTGCTTGGCCATTTCCAGCACTAAGAGCTCATTATTCACAGACCAAGCTACCCAAGACTTGTGTGGAGGGCCAAGACCCAGAGTCCAACCACTCTGACAGGCCCTGCAATCTCCACCACTCTGAGGGTTACTCAGCCATTGGTATTGAGTTGGAATCTGTCTCCCTGTAACCTCCCCATGGCTCCTAGCTATGTCGTGTAGGGTCACATAAAACAATCTGATCCTTCTTTCCATGTAACAGCCTTCACATATTTAGAGGGAACCAGGATGCTTCCTGTTTCTCCCTCTGAGCTGAGCATTCCAAGTGTTTTCAAATGGTCTTCACACGGTATTTCAAGTCTCGGCAGCAATGCTCTGCTATCCTGGTTGTTTTCTAAACCCTGGAGATGAATGGGGAAAGAAGAGGCTTTCTCTACAATCTCTTCTGTCCTCCAGCCCCATCTCCGTGGTACCTGGAGGTCAGTTCAAGGACCATTTGAACCACAAAGATTCAAGAACGGGTGGATTAATCAGAAGACAATGGCTGAATTGGCTGGGTGGGAAGAAGGGAGAGAAAGGCCAGAGATTAGAGATACCTGTAACTCGCCAGGTCAGGCTCAGAGAGGAACTCCCGGAGAAGCATCCCATCTGTCATGTAGCGGAGGACAGTTCGCTCTGATGTGCAGTCCTCAAAGCGGATGCTGTAGCCAACCTGGTCAAGGGAACCATTAGCAACCAAGTGTGGGCTGGTGTGCCCTGAAAGGAACTTGGGGAAAGGTGAAGTGGGGCAGCACCAAGACTTCTGCTGTAGGGACCTGAGGGAACTGTAGACTGAGTCACAGACCCCAGACTCTACCCCCCGGTTCCCTAGAAATCTCACCTCATTCCCAAGCTTCACACCCATCTCCCGGGCCACTCGGGCGGCCACACTCATGGCAGCCACTCTCCGGGGTTGGGTGCAGGCAATCTTCATACCCTTGTTTGTATAACCCTGAATGACAAAGAAAAAAGAAGAAGTTTGCCCTTTACTAAATATGCACCCTGGGACCAGGTACATTTCAGAGAAAGAAGTTGTAAAAACCAGGCAGGAGAAAAGGAGGAAAAGACAGATGCTGAAAACCAGAAAAGAAGGGCAAATAGATAGGATGACAGACCTAGGGCCCTCAAAGGGGGTCCTCACCCAGCTCTGGGTAATTAAGTTCATGACTCTGCTAGACTTGAGCTGGAAAAGAACAGATTAGCTGAGACAGAGCCAGCTAAGGTAAAAAAGCAGGAAGGCTGGGCACAGTGGCTCATGCCTGTAATCCTAGTACTTTGGGAGGCTGAGGTGGGAGGATGGCTTGAGCTCAGGAGTTCAAGACCAGCCTGGGCAACATAGTGTGACAAAAAAATTAAAAATTCAAAATTTTGACCAGGCACAGTGGCTCACACCTGCAATTCCAGCACTTTGGGAGGCCGAGGCAGACGGATCTCCTGAGGTTGGGAGTTCGAGACCAGCCTGGCCAAAATGGTGAAACCCCGTCTACTAAAAATACAAAAAATTAGCCGAGCATGGTGGTGCATGCCTGTATTTCCAGCTACTTGGGAGGCTGAGGCAGGAGAGTCGCTTGAACCTGGGAGACAGAGGTTGCAGTAAGCCAAGATCATGCCACCGCACTCCAGCCTGGGCAACAGAGCAAGACTCTGTCTCAAAAAAAAAAAAAAAAAAATTTCAGGCCAGGCACAGTGGCTAACACCTGTAACTCCAGCACTTTGGGAGGCTGAGGTGGGCAGATCACGAGGTCAGGAGATTGAGACCATCCTGGCCAACATGGTGAAACCCCATCTCTACTAAAAATACAAAAATTAGCTGGGTGTGGTGGTACGCACCTGTAGTCCCAGCTACTTAGGAGGCTGAGGCAGGAGAATCACTTGAACCCAGGAGGTGGAGGTTGCAGTGAGTCAAGATCGCGCCACTGCACTCCAGCCTGGTGACAGAGCAAGACTCCACCTCAAAAAAAAACAAAAAATGTTTAATATGGGCATGGTGGTGTGCACCTCCCAGATACTCAGGAGGCTGAGGTGGGATGATCTCTTGAGCCCAGGAGTCCCAGGTTGCAGTGAGTCATGATGGTGCCACATCACTCCAGCTTGGGCATCAGAGCAAGAGCCTGTCTCCAAAATAAGGCAGGGGCTAGGCACAGTGGCTCACACCTGTAATCCCAGCACTTTGGGAGGCTGAGGTGGCTGGATCACTTGAGGTCAGGAGTTCGAGAGCAGCCTGGCCAACATGGTGAAACCCCATCTCTACTAAAAAATTAGCCAGGTGTGGTGGCGCATGCCTGTAATTCCAGCTACTCTGAAGGCTGACGCAGGAGAATTCCTTGAACCCAGGAGTCAGAGGTTGCAGTAAGCCAAGATCGCACCACTGCACTCCAGCCTGGGTGACAGAGCAAGACTCCGTCTCCAAAAAAAAAAAAAAAAAACTAACAAAAAGGCAGGAAAATAGTCCTTTAACTCCTTGTTTTTTGGCCACGTTGGAGCATAGGGAGGTCCACATTTATACACGCCCCACTCCACCTATCCATCTACCCGTCCTTCCAAATGAAATGAATGCAGGAAGTGAGAACAGAAATGTGAAAAGGGTATGGTCTTTACTCTCAAGAATTTCACAATTTAGTGGAAAAGATAGGTAAGTGACTACTAAAAATATAATGTAAAAGGAGCTCTGACAGGAATGAGGACATTGATGCCAGGTGCCCTGGCAAGCTGAAGGGTGAGATGACTGTACCTCCTCAAAGAGATACTGCGGGATCTGGGTGGTCTTCCCTGAGCCTGTCTCGCCTTCAATGATGAGGACTTGGTGATTTGCAATAGCAGCCAGGAGCTCCTCTCGAAATGGGAACACCGGGAGGCTGCGGCGGACGGCCTGGATGGACTCTTTCTGCTGGGCCTGAGTTGAAGTGGGTGGAGCTGACGGCTCCTAAGGAAAGAGAAGGAGGTGTGAGCTAAATAGCTCGCTACGGGTCTTCCTCAGAAAGTCTCCCAGCTCCCCTCTTACCTCATCACCCTGGAGCTGAGTGGCCCGGACAAACTCAATGGTCTCCTCCTCCTCCAGCACCAGTTGATACTTGGGCTCCTGAGAGGCAGCATCTCGGGCCCCAAACTTCAGGGACGCTGCCCCAAGCCGCGCCTCCTCCCAGCGCCGCTGCTCCTCCCCAGGGGCTCCTGATTCCTCCTCCACTAGATCCACAGCTCGGGCTGGCTACAGAGAGAGGGGATATGTGAAGACTCAAAAACAGGATGTCCTCTCTGCCCTCTCCCCTCTTCCCATTACTACCCCCGCCCACTGCCCATTGGGAACGGCAAGGCAAGAAAGGGGATGACCCACGTGTTGCCCAATCCCCTGAAGCCTTCCCCACAACTTGTCTTGGGGACCAAGGCTGAAGCAGACGCCGCTTCACCTCACCTGTCCTCGGGTTTCCTTGGGCATGTGGTAGCGATTGGTGGCCTCCAGCTTCTCCTGCTCCCCAGCTGCCCGGTACTCCCGGGCGAGATCCCGCACTCGCCGCTTATATTTGAGCTCCTGCCGCTCGTGCCGGCTCAGCTCCACGTCCCCAAAAAGGAACTCCTCATCAGCCAGCTCCGCCTCCAGGTCCTCAAGCTTCTCTCGCTCCCGCTTAGCCAGGTACTCTCGGCGAGATTTCTTCCGCAGCTCAGGGACCTGAGTTGGGAAAGGACAGTCGAATCCTCATCTTGCTGGAGGAGCAACCCCTTTCTCTACCAATCCCTACAAGGGAAAAATCCCCTGACAGGCAGGCATGAGAACCTCAGGATGCACCCTCTACCTTCCCTCTGCAATGCACAACCAAAACAATGACATACTCAAATCTGGGCCTCTTTGGATGCTACATGCTGACCCCACATCGTATCTTCCTGCAGCAGAATCCAGCTGGAAAGTCCTCTTAGGCAGCATTATCATCTTTGTTAATATAGATGCACTAGGGAGATGTCTGCGTAGCTTATATTTTACTCTTGCCATTTTATTCAAATTAGTGGAAAGGGGGAAAATAAAAGGCTAATCCAGCATTTAGAAGCACAGGACTCAAACCGAAAACAATTCAGACAAAGATAGAAACCAGTGAGGGGGCCAACAGGAGGCAATCTTCAGCCCCAGTTAGATGTTCTTTGGTCTTAAACGGAATGACTGTAGTTTGAGGAAGGGAGAAAAACTGATTATAAAAAGTTAGGACTACAGCATCAGAGTGTTTCTGTAAGGCAAATGTAATCAGGGATGTTTGGCTTTCTGGTACTAACCTCTCTTCACCATGCTGTGTCTCACTTAGTTTCTACACATTTACCTTTGATACAAACTTTTCAGGACACATTATGGATGACAGCAGAAAACTGGCAATATCTATAAGGCCCTTTCCTGCCAGGAGTCCTCCCACTATGACATCATCCTCTCTGTGATCACAACTTCCTCTACTGCAAGGTCAAAGCCCCTCTGGTGGCTGGGTGGGCGTGGTGACTCACACCTGTAATCCCAGCACTTTGAAAGGCTGAGGTGGGTGGATCACCTAAGGTCAGGAGTTAGAGACCAGCCTGGCCAACATGGTGAAATCCCGTCTCTACTGAAAATACAAAAATTAGCTGGGCATGGTAGTGGGCACCTGTAATCCCAGCTACTCGGGAGGCTGAGGCAGGAGAATCATTTGAACCCGGGAGACGGAGGTTGCAGTGAGCTTAGCTCACGCCATTGCACTCCAGCCTGAGCAACAAGAACAAAACTGCATCTTTAAAAAAAAAGCCCCTCTGCTGTTCTACCCTTAAGGGGCCTGGTTCTATTTAGTTGTTTGGCTTTTCTTGTTTGTTCTGTAAAGACTTAAAATGCAGTTTATGATCATGACCTAATCTGGGTACCACAGTCAAATATTCCTTCCATGGAAGAGCCAGATAGATTTTTTTTTTAATATGGGCAAAAAATCAGAGCCATTTGAGCATTAAAAAGAATAATGATGTGAGATTATAAAATACTGAAAAATAAAAATTCATGAGTCCAATTTGACACACACAAACAAAAAACAAGGGAAAAAAATCTGTCACCAGTGAAATGACTGTTACAGCAAACGCCTTACTCTAAAAATTCGTATTTAAAAGGAAACAAACATTTACCCTTTTTAAGAAGGAACTGTAGCTTGTTCCTAGTTGTTGAGGAAAAGCTCTTCTTTATAGACAAATTCTAGCCAATACACGTAACAGGAATGACAGAATCAAAAAATCACCATTTCGGCCGGGCGCGGTGGCTCACGCCTGTAATCCCAGCACTTTGGGAGGCTGAGGCAAGAGGATCACGAAGTCAGGAGATCGAGACCATCCTGGCTAACATGGTGAGACCCCATCTCTACTAAAAATACAAAAAATTAGCCGGGCGTGGCAGCAGGCGCCTGTAGTTCTAGCTGCTCAGGAGGCTGAGGCAGGAGAATGGCATGAACCCGGAAGGCAGAGCTTGCAGTGAGCCGAGATCGCACCGTTGCACTCCAGCCTGGGCGACAGAGCGAGACTCTGTCTCAAAAAAAAAAAAAAAAAATCACCATTTTGCAATCCCCAATAAAAATAACATGTTCAGGAAAGGATTACCAGTGGCTTCTAAAAGCATTTGATGAAAGGCTATTGGTAGAAAGGATATTAATACTAATATATAGATACACAACTGGATAGTATGTCCCCGTGATATGACATAATATGAAGTGCACATCACCGCCCAAGAAGTGTTCCTGCCACAACTGTTTAATCTGAGTGTCAATAAGCTTTAGACCCAATTCCTGCTTCAAAGAAAGCACAGGGCAGAGAAGTACTTAACACCACAAGATAAGAATCAGGCAAATCCAGAATGTAGGACACTGCAAGGTGAGACAGACAGAGAGAGAAACAAACTTAACATCTAAGACCCAAATGCAATGCATGAACCTTGACTGCATTCTTGTTAGGAAAAAGCAGTCATTAAAGTTATTTTGAGGGTAATGAGGGTATCTTTTATTGTAGAGAGATCTTAGTCGATACATAAGAATTACTGTTCAACTTCCTGACTGTGACAAGAGCATTCTGATTTTAGAGGACAATATCTTTATCCTTAGCAGGTACACACTGATGTACTTAGAGATAAAACGCCATGATGTCTAAGACTCTTTTAAATGGTCTGAAAAGAAAAAACATACCACATTTACAATTACAATGCAAATACTACCCATAGTATTAACCATTTTTCAATCTGAATAGTGTCTATGAGTGTTCTTTGTTCTATTCTTTCAACTTCCCTATGTGCTTAAATATTTTTGTAATCGAAAAAGAAAAATTACAGCTGGGCACAGTGGCTCACGCCTGTAATCTTAACATTTTGGGAGACCGAGGGGGGTGGATCGCCAAAGGTCAGGAGTTTGAGATCAGACTGGCCAACATGGTGAAACCCTATCTCTACTAAACATACAAAAATCAGCCAGGCATGCTAGTGCATGTCTGTAGTCCCAGCTGCTCGGGAGGTTGAGGCAGGAGAATCACTTGAACCCGGGAGGCGGAGGTTGCAGTGAGCCGAGATCATGCCACTGCACTCCAGCCTGGGCGACAGAATGAGATTCTGTCTCAAAAAAAACCCGAAAAATTAAATTCAGGCCAAAACAGTAACACCACTACCACCACAACTGCACTGAGATGTCCCAGAAGCCTAACCACAGTCAATTTCAGGAAGAGATATGAGATAAATTGGTCAGGAGAGACCTGGGAACCAGTAGGCCATTCTTAGAACTCCAAAAGTTGGCCGGGCACGTGGTGACTCACGCCTATAATCCCAGCACTTTGGGAGGCCGAGGCAGGTGGATCACCTGAGGTCAGGAGTTCAAGACCAGCCTGACCAACATGGAGAAACCCCATCTCTACTAAAAATACAAAATTAGCCAGGCGAGGTGGCTCATGCCTGTAATCCCAGCTACTCTGGAGGCTGAGGCAGGAGAATCGCTTGAACTCGGGAGGTGGAAGTTGCAGTGAGCCAAGATCACGCCACTGCACTTCAGCCTGAGCAACAAGTGCAAAACTCTGTTTCAAAAAAATAAATAAATGAATTTTAAAAAGTAAAAACGGCCAGGCGTAGTGGCTCATGCCTATAATCCCAACACTTTGGGAGGCCAAGGCGGGCAGATCACAAGGTCAAGAGATCAAGACCATCCTGGCCAACATGATGAAATCTCCTCTACTAAAAATACAAAAAATTAGCCGAGTGTGGTACTGCAGGCCTGTAGTCCCAGCTACTCAGGAGGCTGAGGCAGGAGAATCGCTTGATTCCTCCACCAGGGAGGCACAGGTTGTAGTGAGCTGAGATCGCACCACCACACTCCAGCCTGGCAACAGAGTGAGACTCCATCTCAAAAATAAATAAATAAAAATAAAAAATAAAACAAAACAAATAAAAAGAAGGCTGGGCATGGTGGCTCACGCCTGTAATTCCAGCTCTCTGGGAGGCCAAAGCAGGTGGATCACAAGGTCAGGGGTTCGAGACCACCCTGGCCAACATGGTGAAACCCCGTCTCTACTAAAGGTACAAAAAATTAGCCAGGCGTGGTGGTGTGCGCCTGTAATCCCAGCTACTCAGGAGGCGGAGGTTGCAGTGAGCCGAGATCGCATCATTGCACTCCAGCCTCGGTGACAGGGCAAGACCCCGTTTCAAAAAAAAGAAAAAAGGTTTAAAAAAAAAAAAAAAAAAAAAAAGGAACTTCAAGAGTCTCAAAATTCTATTGGGGTATTGGGGAATCTAAGTGTGACTTTACTTGACAAGACCAGGCCTTTGGAAAACAGCTTACCCTACCTAGTTTCACACCATAAAAAGTCCAGTTTATGAATTACAAGGGCTCTGTCCCTGTCCAGTGAGAAGACACAGGGAGATCACAAAGCCACATAAGGGGTGCAGGAATTAGGTGGTGGGAAGGTATTTGGAGATGGTGTGCCTAAGCTGAATGGTCAGCACATCCCTGTACAGTGGGACTGCTGCCCTGCCCTTGCCCTCCAGCAACCTTCTTGACAACATTCCAGCTGCCTCATATCTCATTAGGACTCAGGAATAGGGAAAGCTCACAATTTCATTCACTAATAGAGTATATTTGATCCTAAAGTTAAGAGTCAAGGAGGACTTATGGGTAGCCTCCTTCCCCCTACAACTTAAGAAGGATCCTTCCCTCAACAACATAAGTCTATCCTCAGCTGGCTCCTAACAACCAAGCCCCTCTTCTAGAAACCTGACCACCCCATCAGCATCCACACTGTGCTTCCTCTGTATCCTCTCTCCCTATACACTCTATCAGAAAGTCTTTCCTTTTGTCTTCTGATCTTGGCTCCCTAGGCCCTGGGACTCACCATGGCCTTCCGGTCTTCCTCGGCCATCTTGAGGCGCTTCTGAGCCTCTTCATAAGCCTAGAAGAAAAAACAAGAATGGAGGGGTGTGAGGCCAAAGAGCCCCCACACTGACAGCTGCTCCCCTCTAGAATCACAAGGATCATTCAGATGCGCCCTAACACAAAAAATGTCCCCTCTCAGTGAGGAATCTCTCTGATTGCAGGTACAGCAGACAGTTGTCTTAGCCACAGGATGCACAGGGCTTCTCTCACCACAGAGGTGAACATCTCACTAGAGACAGCCCCTTGTCTTCCCAGAGATCACTATCTCTGCACTCACAGCCAACCTCAGATTTCACCCTGGGATCTTGGGGATTTACAGAACATGCTGCTCCTATTCACCTTCTTGTCTGACCGTTCCAGGACATTTCGAGTCCGATCCTTGTCCCGCTGTCGAACCCGCTCAGCAAAGGCATCACGCTCCTCCAGGTCCTGAAGGCGTTCACGCTCTGTCCGTTCCCACTCATCTTCCGACTCTGGCTTCTCTGTCTGCTGTTTACTCCCCCTGCAGCCCATCCAGGGGATTAAATAAGGGCATAGAGAACACTTCAGCCTGCCCCATCCTCTCTCACCCTGCTTCTGACTTACCCTGTTTTCTTCTTCCCTTTCTCAGAAGCCTCTTCCTCCTCTTCTTCCTCACGCTTCTTCCTGAGGTGTTTCCGCTTTTTACGTTTCTTCTGGAGGCTGCTTCCAGCCCTACTCACAGTCTCCTCACTGCTCTCTTCACTGTCTTCCAGTAACCTATAAGATCGGTTCTTCTCCAGCAGGGCCCGGGCCTCTCGCTCTGCTGCCCGAGCTGGCTTTTCTACCACTGCCTTTCGTGGTACCTGTCAGTAGAGGGGAAGATAAGGAGGTCTGAGCAACTCCTGATCTCTGCCCTCCCACTTAGCTCTGTTCCTAATTTAAGCAATTACTTAGTCTTTCCTGCCCCCGCGGCCCGGCCCCACTGTCAGGCAATGGCGTGATCTCGGCTCACTTCAACCTCCGCCTCCCAGGTTCAAGCAATTCTCCTGCCTCAGCCTCCCAAGTAGCTGAGATTACAGGCACATGCCACCACGCCCGACTATTTTTGTATTTTTAGTAGAGATGAGGTTTCACCATGTTGGCCAGGCTGGTCTCAAACTCCTGACCTCATGATCCACTCACCTCAGCCTCCCAAAGTGCTGGGATTACAGGCATGAGCCACCGCACCCGGGCACAATTACTTAGTTTTAAACCAGCTAACCAGCATTCATTCTCTTTCTTCCTCATGGCTTCACCCCATCTTCATCATCCTGAATGGGGTTTTTTATTTTTTTTTACAGACAGGGTTTCACTCTGTCCCTCTTGGGCTCAAGGGATCCTCCCACCTCAGGCTCCTAAGTAGCTAGAAACACAGGTGCACACTACCACGCTCAACTAATTTTTAATTTTTTTGTAGGACGAAGGTTTCGCCATGTTGCCCAGGCTGGTCTCGAACTCCTGGGCTCAAGTAATCCTCCTGCCTCAGCCTCCCGGGGTGCTGGGATTACAGGTGTGAGCCACTGCACCCGGCCCCCTCTGTTAATTAAACGACTGAAAGGAAGTTCAGAAGATGAGGGGGGCCGGGCATGGTGGCTCACGCCTGTAATCTCAGCACTCTGAGGGGGCTGAGAGAGGATTGCTTGAGCTGAGGAGTTAGAGACCAGCCTGCGCAACACACCAAGGCCTCATCTCTAAAAATAAAAATAAAAATAAAAGATATTAGCCGGGGGTGGTGGCGCGCGCCCGTAGTCCCAGCTACCGGGGAAGATGAGGTGGGAGGGTCGCTTCAACCAGGGAGGTCGACGCTGTAGTGAGCCGTGATCTTACGACCGCACTCCAGCCTGGGCGACGGGGCGAGCGAGACTGTGTCTCTCAAAAAAAAAAAAAAGAAAGAAAGAAATGCAGAAACTAAGATCCCTACTGAATCGCAATCTGCATTTTAACAAGAACCTTGGATGCATGTTAAGAGTTCGAGAAACACCGTTCTATTGCGCTTAACCCGACACACCTAAGCCCTCCTCAATCTTCTCCACTGAGCTGGGCGTCCAGCAGCTAGCACAGTACCTACGCGACAACGGACAAAGAATAAGTGCTTGTGAACTGAGCTTTCTTAACTTCTCGATGGACCGTTAGGCCAGCCTCACCGGGACAAATCACAGGGCCCCTCCCCACCCCTGCCGACACCTTGTTCCAGAGTCTCAGGGCGAAGTCCCGGGCCGGCCCACTGAGATCCAAGGTATCAGTGTCTCGTAGGCGCTGCACGAACTCCTCGGCAGAGGTGCAGCGCTGTGCGGTACCGATCAGAAACTGGGCGACGTGCCGCTCGCTCAGCCCCAACACCGAGTGCAGCTCGTCCTGAACCCAGCGCTCCAGACCCGCCGGCGTCGCCATGGCGACTCACGCTCCCTGCTCCCGGCCCTGAAGCGTCGGGCAGCCGCGCTCACTGCTGGGCCGGTCAGAGGCCTGGAGCCCTCGGCTGGAGCCTCAGCTTCGCAAGTCAGCTACCTTGGGACCTCTAGGATCTTCCGACATCCCAAAGCTGTCTTCCCGTACCGCGGAGCCCGGAAGGGGCTGTACTTTTTCGGCCTCTAAGCACTACGGTGGCCGAGCGAGTTCAAACCTCGCGGAACCATACCTGAAAACTCGGGGTAATTCTTTTTTCTTCATTTCGCCTCTGTCCAGTTTCTCTGACGCCCCCTGATGGTCAGTCTGTGAGTGCTTCGCTCACGCATTCATTCAACAAGTGAAATTAATTTAATGGATGCCTAATGTGTGCTCATTGCTTTCCGTCCCTGGGATATAGCAGAGGACAAATCAAAAGTTCCTTACCAAATTTACATTTTGCGGTGGGGGAGGGACAGGATACATAATAAAGAAAGTATGGAAATTTTATAGAGCCAAAAACTATACAAAGTAAGGGAGGAATGAAATTCTATTTCAGATTGGAAGATCGGGTCCATGCTCATAAAACATATTAGCATTGTTGGCCGGGCGCGGTGGCTCATGCCTGTAATCCCAGCACTTTGGGAGGCCAAGGCGGGCGGATTATCTGAGGTCAGGAGTTCGAGACCAGCCTGGCCAAGATGGCGAAACCCTGTCTCTACTAAAAATATAAAAATTAGCCTGGCGTGGTGGTGTGCGCCTGTAGTCCCAGCCACTCGGGAGGCTGAGGCAGGAGAATCATTTGAACATGGGAAGCAGAGTTTGCAGTGAGCCGAGATCCCACCACGGCACTCCAGCCTGAGCAACAGAGGAAGTCTCTGTCTCAAACAAACAAAAAAGTGACCGTTGCTAGGACTGGTTTGCCTGCAGCAGGAGTGAAGACAGGTCAGGTATAAGGGAAGACCTCTAGGCAGGAAGAAACTGGGGAACTGGGGAAAGTTGTTAAAGACAAAATCTCCAAACTAAGGAACAGGCAAACTGTGTTCTGCATTTTTGCTTAACAGCTTGAGAAAATCACTGGTGGCTGCTTATTTAAAAGTAAGCAAGGCCAGGTGCAGTGGCTCTTGCTGTAATCCCAGCACTTTGGGAGGCTGAGGCAGGAGGATATCTTGAGACCAGGGGTTTGAGACCAGCCTGGGCAACAGGGTGAGACCCCACCATCTCTACAAAAAATTAGCCAGGTGTGGAGGTGTGCACCTGTAGTCCCAGCTACTCTGGAGACTGAGACAGGAGAATTTTTTTTTTTTTTTTTGGAGACAGAGTCTCGCTCTGTTGCCCAGACTGGAGTGCAATGGCACGATCTCGGCTCACTGCAACTTCCGCCTCCCAGGTTCAAGTGATTCTCCTGCCTCAGCCTCCTGAGTAGCTGGAATTACAAGTGTGACAAGCACATGCCATCACGCCCAGCTAGTTTTTGTATTTTTAATACAGATGGGGTTTTACCATGTTGGTCAGGCTGGTCTCAAACTCCTGACCTCATGATCCGCCCGTCTCGGCCTCCCAAAGTGCTGGGATTACAGGCGTGAGCCACCGCACTGGGCCTGAGACAGGAGAATCTCTTGAGCCCAGGAGCCAGAGGTTGCAGTGAGCCGAGGTCAGGCACTCCAACCTAGGCAACAGACCAAGACTATGCTCAAAAAAAAAAAACAAACAAAACAAAAAGCTGAATTTGTTACTCGATGCTCTGCTGTCTGATTTGTTTGATCCTGCATCATACTTTTGTGATTAATTGCAGTTACCAGGCACTACTGTTAGGAAATGAAACATTGTTCTTATTAATAGCCACAAGTGGATCTACATCACTGACTTTTTTTTTTTTTTTTTTGGAAAGGGAGTCTCGGAGTCTCACTCTGTCGCCCAGGCTGGAATGCAGTGGCGTGATCTTGGCTCACTGCAGCCTCCACCTCCTGGGTTCAAGCAATTCTCCTGCCTCAGCCTCCTGAGTAGGCGGGACTACAGGTGCGTGCCACCACGTCCAGCTAATTTTTTGTATTTTAGTAGAGACGGGGTTTCATCATGTTGCCCAGGCTGGTCTCAAACTCCTCAGATGAGGCAGTCCACCCGCCTTGGCATCCCAAAGTGTTAGGATTACAGGCATGAGCCACCACACCTGGCCTGACCTCTTGAATGCATTGTTTTCTGTTTCTGAGATGGACTGTGAGCACCCCTGGCACCTCGGAGCTTCCTAACTCTGTTTTCCTGGGTCACAACTGGAAACTTTTTAAGACCTTTACCTAACAGGCTACTAATATAATCATTCTGTTTCCTTCCCTACCCAGACCTTCTCTGAACTGGCTGAGTCTTTTGACACCTGGCTTGTTCTCTTGCTAGTAAATTGAAAACCTTTGGCGTATGCTTAAGTTCAATTTGTCTCATATATTTTGTTTTATAGTAAAGGTGTGGGGCCTCCTCTGACCAGTCTGAGAGGAGCAACTTGTAGTGGTAGAAGGACTATAACTATTCAACCATATCTTTGTTAGCCTGGAGAGCTAACAACAAACAAACAAATTTTCCTGATGAGTAAAATATTGATGTTCCACATTTGTATAAGATATTCTTTGAAATTGGAAAATTCCAAATATCAACTACATGGGCACCAAAGCCATGCACTATCAAGATGGTTTTTAAACCTTTTTTTTTTTTTTTGAGATGGAGTCTCACTCTGCTGCCCAGGCTGGAGTGTAATGGCGCAATCTCAGCTCACTGCAAGCTCCACCTCCCGGGTTCATGCCATTCTCCTGCCTCAGCCTCCCGAGTAGCTGGGACTACAGGTGCCCACCACTATGCCCCGCTAATTTTTTGTATTTTTAGTAGAGACGGGGTTTCACCGTGTTAGCCAGGATGGTCTCAATCTCCTGACCTTATGATCCGCCTGCCTCGGCCTCCCAAAGTGCTGGGATCACAGGCGTGAGCCACCGTGCCCGGCCTTTAGGCCTTTAACGATATAAAATCCATTGTCTATCAGAGGGGAACCTTTTCCAGGAAACTGACTCTTGTACATACTTACTTCATTTTGCAGCAATTTCAGATTTAGTATTCGTAGCCCCAGCTCTTTAAGTAAGTATCCCTGGATTAGCCACATGGGTTGTGTCATACACTACCTAGCTGCCTTCATGGCAGCAGGCTTCTGAATACTAGAACCCTTCAACTCAAAGTGTCCTCTGTAATATTTTAACCCTTTTCTTCTATTCATTCATTTGTTGTCATTCATTCTAGAAATAATTCCGTGTCTACTAGTTGACAGGTACAGGATATTGCAGTGAATCCAGCTGATGTAGTCAGCCCTCATGGCACTTCCAGTCTAGTGGACACTTCAACTGCCCTTTCTCATGTCACCTGCTTGTCCTGCGTGAAACCCACGTGCAGCTTCCCAGACCCCTTTTGACATGTCAGTGCCGAGTTCCTGGTTCATCCCCCATCATTTTCCTCTCCCCCAGCCACCAGAGCCTCCCCTCACATACCCTTTTTTTTTCCCAAAGAAGGAGAAGCAGACGAGTTGAAGAGAACTCCATTTTATTATGGAAAGTTAAAAAACAAACAAAACAAAACAGGCAATTGATAAAGGCGGCACAATGGGGAAGGAGAGGTGAGGTGTCTCCTTAGCCACCCGACACCATCTCAATTCAGTTCAATTGTGAACCACTAGGAGAAACAGAATTAAATAACTATCAAGGGGTACAGAGTTAAGAGTTCCAGCCTTCCCTCTTGGGGAAAACTAAGGCAAAGTAATACTGAGAAAAAGTGGAGGAAGCCACACCTTCAGGTCACTCCAATGAGGAGACTGGAGGGGACAGAGGAGAGAATTCCACGCAGACACAGCAAGTAAGCGTGGCTTGTAAACCTGGGACTTTGGCAGGTGGGGCTGGGAGCTGATGGAATTTGTAAACCAGGCTGTGGTCAAGGGAGGAGGCAGGAGCTGTAAACAAAGGGGCAGTGACCTAGGAAATGAAGGAGATGTGCCTATAAATGGAGTGGGGTCTGGGCCTCCCAGAGAGACGAGTGCTTAAATCCCGAGAGTCCCCACGGGATGGTGGGGAGGAAGGCTGTGGGGAGAGTGTACCCTGCCATGGGGGGCAGGTGCTCCATCTCCACCCTCCAGGGAGTTCTGTGCCCCTTCTCAGGACTTGGCGCTCACTCTTGGATGACCTAGGATGCACCAGCACGTTTAACCCCACCCACACCAGGGACTTTGGATTAGGGTAGAAATTGGGCAATTGGCTCTGCCCCCAGAAACAGGGTGGGGAAAGCAAGTTACAAGATGTTGGTTGCCCTTCCCTGCCAGGCTCATTATCAGGGTCTGTCTGCCCTGAATCTTCCGGGCTCCAGGATCTTCAGTTATAAGAAGGAGGGAGGTATATCCCTATGTTGGAAGATGGTCACCGCCGGCAGGACTCATCTGTGGGAGAGGGGGCAATAATGTTAGAGAATGAGTGAGAGCCTCTGCCTTCTGCCCACCCTTCCCCCCCACACAAATTGAAGGGCAGTTGGCATGCAGGAAGTCCTATAATATCTTCCATATCTAAAGCATGTTACCACCAGTAACCACATCCATCACTCATTTAGCTCGGACTCTGTGCCAGGCATCCTTATAACTGTTTAATCTCACCATAACTCCAGGAGAGATTAAGTAATATGATATCCAGCTGTGGCTCTTGGTGCTTCACAAAAAATTACTTAATCTTGGCCTGGAGCACCTGTAATCCAAGCAATTTGGGAGGCTGAGGCAGGAGGATCACTTGAGGTCAGGAGTTCAAGACCAGCCTGACCAACATGGGGAAACCCTGTCTCTACTAAAAATATAAAAACTAGCCAGGTGTGATGGTACACATCTGTAATCCCAGCTACTAGAGAGGCTGAGGCACAAGAATCGCTTGAATTTGGGAGGCAGAGGTTGCAGTGAGCCAAGGTTGTGCCACTGCATTCCAGTCCAGGCGACAGAGGGAGACGCTGTCTCAAAATAAATAAATAAATAAATAAATAAAATTACTTAATATTTTCTACAAGTCTAGGAGGTAGTTTTTGGTTTCTGTTTTTTTGAGACAGAATTTCACTCTGTCACCCAGGCTGGAGTGTAGTGGCGTCATCTCGGCTCACTGCAACCTCTGCTTCCCGGGTTCAAGTGATTCTCCTGCCTCAGACTCCCGAGTAGCAGGGATTACAGGTGTCCACCTCCATGCCTAGCTAATTTTTGTATTTTTAGTAGAGATGGGTTTTCACTATGTTGGCCAGGCTGGTCTTGAACTTCTGACCTTGAGTGATCCACCTGCCTCGGCCTCCCAAAGTGCTGAGATTACAGGCGTGAGCCACCGTGCCTGGCCTGTTTGTTTCTTTTGAGACAGGTCTTCCTTTGTTGCCCAGGCTGGAGTGCAGTGGGTGGTGCAATATTGGTTCACTGCAGCCTCCAACTCCTGAGGTCAAACGATGCTCCCACCTCAGCCTTCCAAGTACCTGGAACCACAGCTGCGCACTGCCACACCTGGCTAATTTTTTTTTTTTTTTTTGAGACGGAGTCTCACTCTGTTGTCAAGGCTGGAGTGCAGTGGCACGACCTCGGCTCACTGCAAGCTCCGCCTCCCAGGTTCACGCCATTCTCCTGCCTCAGCCTCCCAAGTAGTTGGGACTACAGGTGCCCGCCACCACGCCCAGCTAATTTTTTTTTGTATTTTTAGTAGAGATGGGGTTTCACCGTGTTAGCCAGGATGGTCTCGATCTCCTGACTTCGTGATCCGCCCGCCTCGGCCTCCCAAAGTGCTGGGATCACAGGCGTGAGCCACCGTGCCCGGCCCACACCTGGATAATTTTTCAATTTTTTTGTAGAGACAGGATTTTGCCATGTTGCCCAGGGTGGTCTTGAACTCCTGGGCTCAAGCGATCCACCCGTCTTGGCTTCCCGAAGTGCTGGGATTACAGGCATGAGCCACAGGAGGTAGTTATTATTAACTTCATTTCATAAATAATAAACTAAAGCAAGAGATCAGATGGTTTCCCTGAGATCACACAATTAAAGAGACAAGCTGGAATTCCAACTCAGGCCTGTCGACCCACCCTGTGATTTTGACCAGATTACAGCACTCAGGAAGAGTTCTCGTTTTGAAACCTGAAGACTCAATGTGTACTTCACTGCCGGGGACCTCAGTTTGCCCATCTGTTAAAGGAGCATGTTGAACCAGAGGACCCGCCAAGCCCCTTCCGAGTGCCTACATGTAATCCTCCCTCCTCTCTCCTGGACCACAGCGCCCGCTCTGACAGCAGGGGGCGCCCTCGGGCCGGCGGAGCCTCCGCTTACCCACAATCAGGGCCTTGGTGCGCAGCCCGCCCTGGAGCTCTGGCTGCAGCAGCAGCAGCTCTTCCTCATCCTCTTCGTCGTCGGGTTGGGCTGCTGGAGGGTTGGGGGCACTGGGGACCTCAGGCTCCGGGCCCAGCTCCTCCAGTACCGAACTCTCGGAGGGGTATTGGTACGTGGTCTCCAGGGCTGTCTCGCTGAAGGAGATCTTAAGCTGAAGGAGGGAGAAAAAGGGGGCAGGAGGCAAGGTCAGCAGGGGAGAAGCCCGCGGGGGTTGAGGGAGAGAAAGCGGGGGCGGGGGGGGCGGAGTCTGCAAGGGAGCAGGTGGGACTGGCGGAACGTGGGGGTGGGGGCTGGACTCAGGTGCCCCACTCACTCTCCCCATCCACTCTGGGATCCAGTTTTCCTTTCCATACTGGCTCTCCAATTCTAGAGTTTCCCTCTTCGATCATATCATTTCAAAACATCAGACTTTGCCCTGTACGTTGGCAGGGGCTTGGGAGGCAGAAGTGAATAATATAAGACCAAGGTCCCTGCTATTTCGAGTGTGGGAGGCAGAGGGGTAAAAAGAAATTAAAATACATGGCGATAAGTCTTGTGATCAGAACCGAGTCTTTGGGCACCTTGGGGGCAATCGAGTGAACTTCCCAGAGGAGCCCAGCAGACTGGCCAGTGGGGAAAGAACTGGCTGGGGAGCGAGTCTCAGACAAAAGCAAGGTTTTCATACCCACAGCCCCTTGCTGTCCTATGCAAAACCCAGGACCCTGGGCACCTGTTCCCTCCTACTCTCCTCATTCCTCTCCTATCCATAGCAAAGGGAGTCTAGGGCCTAGGAAGAGATGGGAGATGAACAGAAAGGCCGAGAGGAACCAAGAGACTCCAGCAACACACAGGGGAAAGATGAGCCGCTGACACCCTGAAGGCTGGGGGAGATGACAAGGGCAGAAAGGAAAGTCCACACAAACCTGGGGTGGGGGTCCACAGTGTGCCCAAAGGGACAGGCACAGAGACAAAATACCAGACAGGGCACAGAAAACCCTTGGTAATCACACTGTCCCAAGAGCAGGCGAGTCCCAGCTGTTCTCACTGCCTTTCTACCCTTCCCCTTTGCCCTATTAAGAAGCTCAGGGGGAAGGGGCAGGGTGGGATTAAGTCTAGGAGCCAAAGGGATTAGGGAGACAGCAGGAGGATTCCATATGAACTACTTGGAAAGGTCCAAATGATCTACTCAGGCCTTCCCTGGCATCTGTTTGGGAAGACTTGGGGTCAGCCGTACATCCCTGAGTCCCCTAATGAACTGAGGTATGAAAAGAGAGAAGCCAGAAGGGTGGCTGGGCAGGTGGTTGTTAAGAGCTGCATCAATATGACACCAGTCAGGCATGGTGGCTCACACCTGTAGCCCCAGCACTTTGGGAGGTTGAGGCGGGAGGATTTCTTGAGCCCAGGAGTTCGAGACCAGCCTGGGCAATAGAGTGACACTGTCTCTAAAAAAGAAAAAAAAAGAAAACCAGATATGACACCTGGGTCCCCATGGGAAGGTAGAACTCAGGAACTGTATATGTTACTCCTTGTTGGCTCTGAACCCTGCAGTGTCTCCCCATCTCACTTGGAGCAAAAAGTCTACTCCAGGCTGGGCGCGGTGGTTCATGCCTATAATCCCAGAACTTTGGGAGGCCGAGGCGGGCGGATCACAAGGTCAAGAGATTGAGACCATCCTGGCCAACATGGTGAAACCTGTCTCTACTAAAAATACAAAAAAATTAGCTGGGCATGGTGGCGTGCACCTGTAGTCCCAGCTACTCGAGAGGACGAGGCAGGAGAATTGCTTGAACCCGGGAGGCGGAGGTTGCAGTGAGCCGAGGTCGCGCCACTGCTCTACGGCTTGGGCAACAGAGCAAGACTCTGTCTCAAAAAAAAAAAAAAAAAAAAGTCTACTTGATTGCCCCCAAGGTGCCCAGAGCCTGACCAAAGCCTACAGGGTGCTCCCAGTATGCCACCCTCCCCTTGCCTCTCTGGCCTCTTCCTCCACTCCAGCCACACTGGCCTTGGTTCCCTCCACGCACTCCTACCTCAGGACCAGAACAGTACTAGCTATTCCTTCTGCCTGGAACACTCCCCCAAAATATCCCCATGGCTCTGACCCTCCTGATCACCCTATTTTGAAGTCTCCATATTCACTCCCCCTACCTCCTGACCCTCTAAGTTCCACTGTTCTATTTTTTTTTCCATAATCACTTACCACCTTCTAACTTACTAGATAATTTACTAATATATTATACTCATGTCTGCTGTTGAAAGGAGCTTGGGGCCGGGTAAGGTGGCTCACCCCTGTAATCCCAGCACTTTGGGAGGCCAAGACAGGTGGATCACTTGAGGTCAGGAGTTCGAGACCAGCCTGGCTAACATGGTGAAACCCCGTCTCTACTAAAAATACTAAAATTAGCCGGGTATGGTGGCGTGCGCCTGTAATTCCAGCTACTCAGGAGGCTGAGGCTGGAGAATCACTTGAACCCGGGAGGTGGAGGTTGCAGTGAGCCGAAATCTCACCATTGAACTCCAGGCTGGGAGACAGCGAGACTGTCTCAGAAAAAAAAAAGAAAAGAAAAGAAAAAAGAAAGGAGCTTAGAAGTTGGTACAATGCAAGAGGTTAGGGTTTGTTCAGACCTCACATGAGGTGCCATCAGAGGACCAATGCTGGGGAAACGATCTGCGGGTGGTCCAGCCTGTACACATTTGACCCCCAGTTCATGTCTGTGGAACTGCTGGTAGAATCTAGTGACAGCAGCCAGACTGCTTATATCCCAAGTTCTCAGAAGGGACCGCTTAGGTTTCTGTAACTGACAGATTTACCCACATTTCTGGGAACCCATTTTTGTTTTCTTCTCATATCCTCTTTTGGAATAATAACCTCTGTACTTTATTTTCTACTCTGAAAATGACTTATTTTATTTGCTCTCGGTCTATGTTTATATCTCCCCCCCTACCCTGCCTGTCTCCTCACCCCCCACCAACTTCTGACTGGGCTTCTCAGAAATGCACAGCCTGCATGGGAGTGGGGGGGTAGAGAGGGGGTGACTCACTCGCTCCTCTCCCATCAGCTATATAAGGTCACAATGGGGCTGGTCTCTCAGCCCAACCAAGAGGCCTCTGGGGTAGGGCACCAGCCACAGCCATCCCCTGGGCTCCAGTGGCAGGGCTGGGATTTCTCTCCTGATGGCAGGGATAAATTTGATGGAATTAGCCTGCAAACGAGTTATTTAGGGAAGGTGAAGCGGGGGTTGGTGGCAGGGTCCTCCTATCTCCTATTCCTGAGCCAGTGTGTTGCAGCAGAGCTGGGACAAGGCACCCAGTCCCTGAAGAACAGGTTGCTGACAGGGGGTAGAGGGTGGAGGGTGAGGCGTCTGGGTCAGAGGAACTCTGTGCTGCCTCCTCCCCACCCCCACCCAAGCAGCGGCTGCTTCCTTATTCTCTCACCACATCCTGAGCACAGATCTGGCAGGCCCAGGGCCCAGGGCCCAGGGTTCCCCACTCAGCCCCACCAGCCTTCCGGCCCCCACCCCAGGCTTCCTGTTTGGGCGATCTGCTTCCGGCTCCCCTGCTCTCTGGCCTAGGTATGGTCACCAGCACAGGTCCTGCCCTGCACTTGCTTCCTGGCTCCCCTGGGATGCTCCCTGGGCTTTGGGCCCCAAAGCTTCATGCTTCCCTCTGCTCATTCTTCCCCAGAGGCACAAGCCTCTCTCAGTAGGAAGTGACTTTTCTGAACACCTCACCCGGGTAGCATTTCCGGACTTCTGTTTTTTTCATCTGCCCAGCCCTGAGGGGAACAGGCTGGTAGCAGTCAGAGGGCTGAGGGTAGGTTCCCAAGAACCATGGCTTAGAGGTGGGAGCTTACGCTTCATGTGAAGATGAATTGGGGGATCAAATGAACCCCCCTCCACCCAAGGCTTAACCCGTATCTTTAGTCCCTGTGGTTCCCCACTGACACTGAGGACACAAAAAAATCAAATCTGAGGATGTTAACACATGGGATGAGAATGAGACTGGGCTTCCCAGGCTCTGGGGAGATGTGTGTGACTGGAGGGACTTCCTAAGTCTGAGATGTCTGAGTGTGGGACCTCTGTCTCCCTAGAGATTTTCAAGCTGGAAACAGATGGATGTGCACAGGGAAGAAGTGAGGCCAGGGCCAGGGGGAGTCATCCTGGCTGCCCCCACTTTCCTGCAGGTCTTTGTTGCAAGTCTAACCTCTGACCCTCTGCTGGCCTCAGCCCCAACCCCTGTCCAGAACTCCCACTGTGCTCCCTGGCC
>NT_167249.2:1998526-2053437 GCF_000001405.40 Homo sapiens
GGCCAGCCTGGTCTTGAACTCCTGACCTCAGGTGACCTGCCCACCTCGGCCTCCCAAAGTGTTGGGATTACAGGTGTGAGCCACTGCACCCCGGCCCTCTCCTTCTTATCTACAACACTCTACATGAGGGTTCCAGCCAGAAAAGAGGCTACTTTTTTTTTTTTTGTTTTTTTTTTGAGAGGGAGTCTCGCTCTGTCGCCAGGCTGGAGTACAGTGGAGCAGTCTTGGCTCACTGCAACCTCCACCTCCCGGGTTCAAGCGATTCTCCTGCCTCAGCCTCCCGAGTAGCTAGGACTACAGGCGCCTGCCACCACGCCTAGCTAATTTTTTGTATTTTTAGTAGAGACGGGGTTTCTCCATGTTAGCCAGGATGGTCTCAATCTCCTGATCTTGTGATCTGCCCACCTTGGCCTCCCAAAGTGCTAGGATTACAGGGGTGAGCCACCACGCCTGGCCTTTTTTTTTTTAGATGGAGTCTTGTTCTGTTGCCCAGGCTGGAGTGCAGTGGCACGATCTCAGCTCACTGCAACCTCCACTTCCCGGGTTCCAGCAATTCTTCTGCCTCAGCCTCCCAAGTAGCTGGGATTGCAGGCACATGCCACCACGCCCGGCTAATTTTTGTATTTTAAGTAGAGACGGGATTTCACCATGTTGGCCAGGCTGGTCTCTAACTCCTGACCTCAGGTGATCCACCTGTCTTGACTTCCCAAAGTGCTGGGATTACAGGCATGAGCTGCCGTGACTGGCCTTTTATTTTTTTGAGACAAGGTCTCACTCTGTTGCCCAGGCTGAAGTGCAGTGGCTCGTGTCCACCCACTGCAGCCTTGACCTCCTGGGCTCAAACGATTTTCCTCTTAGCCTCCCAAGTAGCTGGGACCATAGGTGTGTGCCACCATGCCCAGTGAATTTTTGTATTTTTGGTAGAGACGAGGTTTTGTCATGTTGCCCGGCTGGCCGTGAACTTCTGAGCTCAAGTGATCTGCCAGCCTTGGCCTCCAAAGTGCTGGGATTACATGTGTGAGCCACTGTGCCCATCCATATGTTTAACTTTTTGAGGAACCATCAAACTGTTTACCACAGAGGCTGAACCATTTAACATTCCTACCAGCAATGTATAAGGATTCTAATTTCTCCACATCCTTGTAATCAACCAACTTTTAAAATTTAAATCTGGCTGGGCACGGTGGCTCAAGCCTGTAATCCCAGCACTTTTGGAGGCTGAGGTGGGTGGCTCACTTGAGGTCACGAGTTAGAGACCAGCTTGGGCAACATGACAAAACCTCGTCTCTACCAAAAATACAAAATTCATCGGGCATGGTTGCACACACCTATGGTCCCAGCTACTTGGGAGGCTGAGAGGAAAATCGTTTGAGCCCAGGAGGTCAAGGCTGCAGTAAGCCGACATCGAGCCACTGCACTTCAGCCTGGGCAACAGAGTGACACCTTGACTCAAAAAGATAAAAGGCCAGTCATGGCGGCTCATGCCTGTTATCCCAGCACTTTGGGAAGTCAAGACAGGTGGATCACCTGAGGTCAGGAGTTCGAGACCAGCATGGCCAACATGGTGAAACCCCGTCTCTACTACAAATACAAAAATTAGCCGGGTGTGGTGGCATGTGCCTGTAATCCCAGCTACTCGGGAGGCTGAGGTGGGTGGATCACTTGAGGTCAGAAGTTAGAGACCAGCCTGGGCAACATGACAAAACCTCATCTCTACCAAAAATACAAAAATTTAGTAGAGCCCCGTCTCTACTAAACAATAAAAAAAAGAAAATTAGCCAGGCATGGTGGTGTGTGCCTGCAGTCCTAGCTACTCAGGAGGCTGAGGTGGGACTATTGCTTGAACTGGGAGGTGGAGGTTGCAGTGAGCCAAGATGGTGCCACTGCACTCCAGCCTAGGTGACAGAGATGAG
The DNA here is from genome assembly GCF_000001405.40 of Homo sapiens. NCBI lineage: Eukaryota > Metazoa > Chordata > Mammalia > Primates > Hominidae > Homo > Homo sapiens. Next base: position 2,000,440 of record NT_167249.2, read on the forward strand.
ACCCTGTCTCAAGAAAAAAAAAAAAATCTTAAGAAATGTCATACAAATTGTCCTAAATAGAAGATAATGATGAATTAAATACAAGTCTATGACTTTTTTTTTTTTAAGTTTGTGTCTTGAGACCTAGACATTTTAAAAAACTACACTACACCATAAGGCACAGAGTGAATATTTATTTATCACAGAGGTCAAGCCGAAGCTCTAATTTTATAAATCCTGGAAAAGCTGGCCAGAAAAGTACAGAGACTTGCCCAAAGTCAAAGCTAAAGATGCTTCCAGAGGCCAGGAGAGAAGAAAATGTTTTAGTAGCACTCCATAACTGGACCCTCAAATCTACTCACTCCAAGCATCCCTTCAAGTTCCTGACCCCAAAGTAAGAATCTCAGTAAGAAAAAAATAGAGATGGTTTCCAAATAGGAGGTAGGACACCATGAGTGGCATCGAGCAATAACTGCAACAGTCTGGCTAAAGATAGCTGCCACTTATGACATCTGAGCATGAAACTAGCTAATTTTAAAATGGCCATTTAATACATGCATGTAAGAAATCTTGTATCCCCTAAATCTATACAAATAAAAAACTATAAATACAAATAAAATAAAATGGCCATTAAAAAAACAAACAAACAAACAAAAAACAACCTGTGGCTTCCAAATCCCTTATCTTTTCATTTATTCATAAAGATTTCTGGTCCCACCCATGTTCCAGGACAAGTTGTATCAATATACCCCAATCCTTTCTAACGCCCTGAGTTCTTTCTTCCACATATCTTCTAATTCGTGGTCTGGGAGGGAAAAGGGTAGTGGAGTTCTCAGGTGGATGACATCTCCAAAGGGGAGAGGACAAAGGCCTCTGGCTTGGCTTCCTGCTTCAGCACTCCAGTCAGCAGGAACTCAGGCGAGAGGAGGGGCAGCCCAACCCGTAGTGGAATGGAGCAATGAGGGAAGTCCTGAGGGCATGTGATCACAACTCTCTGAGGCTGGGGAAGACAGAGCAAAGGCAAAATCAGGTGAAAAAGAATCCTAGAAATGGGTTCAGGACCCACTAACCAGTCTTACCATCACTAAAATAATACCTCCTAATATGAAGCCAAGTGAAGCACACCGCATACTGTCTATGAAATACTCTTGCTAGGCCGGGCGCAGTGGCTCATGCCTGTAATTACACAGCACTTTGGGAGGCTGAGGCGGGTGGATCACGAGGTCAGGAGATCAAGACCACGGTGAAACCCTGTCTCTACTAAAAATACAAAAAAAAAAAAAAAAAAAAATTAGCCGGGCGCGCTGACGGGTGCCTGTCGTCCCAGCTACTCGGGAGGCTGGGGCAGGAGAATGGCGTGAAAACCCAGGAGGCGGAGCTTGCAGTGAGCCGAGATCGCGCCACTGCACTCCAGCCTGGGCTACAGAGCAAGACTCCATCTCAAAAGAAAAAAAAAAAGAAAAAAAAAAAAGAAATACTCTTGCTAGAGGCCAGGCACAGTGGCTCACGCCTATAATCCCAGCACTTTGGGAGGCCGAGGTGGGTGGATCACGAGGTCAAGAGATCGAGACCATCCTGGCCAACATGGTGAAACCCCGTCTTTAGTAAAAATAAAAAAATTAGCTGGGCGTGGTGGTGTGCGCCTGTAGTCCCAGCTACTCGGGAGGTTGAGGCAGGAGAACAGCTTGAACCCGGGAGATGGAGGTTGCAGTGAGCCAAGACTGCTCCACTGTACTCCAGCCTGGCGACAGAGTGAGACTCTCTCAAAAAAAAAAAATACTTTTGCTAGAAAGATGAACCTGAATTTATTCAAGCTTTTACAATTATCTGCAATTTCCAGGAAATATGGAGTACAGAGGAACAAGATAAATTATATGACAAGGAGGCAAACCCAAAATTCCAGACTGAGGAACATTCTAAAGGACAAGTGACCCAGCTTCTGCAGGAAATAGATGGCATAAAAAAAGCTGGGTGGGTTAAGGGATGCTCTAGAGTAAAGATAATTAAGAAGATAATAGGTGTGGCAGTATGTGGACCTTATTTGAATCCTGATTTGAACAACTGTATAGAGACATTTTTCAGACAATGGGAGAAATTTTATTAATGGAGTGTGAGCAAATGACCAATAAACTACTGTTAATTTTGCTTAGGATCAATAATGGCATTGTGATTATGAAATAAAATGTACGTATTTCTTAGAGATATATATTTAAGTATGTAGGAAGAAATAATATAATATTGGCAGTTTGCTTTAAAATATTTCAGCAAAGAAAGAGAAAGGAAAAAAAGAAAGAATAAAGAAAAATAAAAAGAAATGAAATACTTCAGCAAAGAAAATCAAAGGAAAAAGCCGGGCGCGGTGGCTCACGCCTGTAATCCCAGCACTTTGAGAGGCCGAGGCGGGCAGATCATGACCTCAGGAGATCAAGACCATCCTGGCTAACACAGTGAAACCCCATCTCTACTAAAAATACAAAAGAATTAGCCGGGCGTGGTGGCGGGCACCTGTAGTCCCAGCTACTCGGGAGGCTGAGGCAGGAGAATGGTGTGAACCCAGGAGGCAGAGATTGTAGTGAGCCGAGATTGTGCCACTGCACTCCAGCCTGAGAGTGAGACTCCATCTCAAAAAAAAAAAAAAAAAAAAAAAAAGAAAATCAAAGGAAAAAAGGGATAGATGGAGCAAATGTAGCATAATCTAAATTAAGCTGCTGCTGAATCTCGGTGATTGTTATATGGGGGTATCAGCAGATCTGTCCCCTCATTCCTATCCCTTTCTATACCATAGGTCTTTTCCCCCACCCTCTCACTACTTTATATTCCTTTCTGAACCTCCATTTTTTTCCCTCCAATCTTTGCCATTCCAGCCACCTCTTTAACTGCCACTGCCACCTCACCCAGACCCAGAACATCCTAAGCATACCTTATAGGACCGAGGCATGCTGGGTAGGTATGTGCCTCCACAGCAGCTAATAATCTCTCCCATCTGAGGTGGTGGTGGCTGGACTCCAGGGGTCACATAGATCTCATAGCCCTAAGAGAAAGAAATGATGGAGATGGTATTGTAGATTGGGAAGCACTGGAGGGAGGGCTGAAGCACAGGTTAAAAGATAGCCTCTCACCTCTAGCAGCCTTCGCTCCCGAGCCCTGCTCAGTGCGTCTTGAAGGCTAAAGCCAAAGTTCTTCTCTTGCTCAGGGTCGGTCACCACATATTCATCCGGGGGTAAGAAGAAACCAGCCTTGCGGGACTAAGGACGGCAGCAGTCAGCATCAAAGCTCAGCCCAGCCCCTCAATCAGCTCTGCTGCCTAGCATTTAGAGAGAGCTCACAAAATGTCTTTTAAATCAATGCAGGCTTCTGGCTCACCAATGCCCCTGTCTTCCTGTAACGCCTCTTCCCTTCCACCACTTTCTAGGGCACTATATGAGCAGTCTTGCCACTATATCGGTCTGTCATCATCCCTTGGCCTCTCACCTGATGCAGCCAGTCCAGGGACAGAATGGGGATTCCCCGCCCCAGGGCACACAGGAACTTGACTGTCCGGCGGATGCGATCAGTGACCAGGTGGGAAGCCTCTGCCGCTGAACCAGCCAGACTTCCCCCCAGTGCCAGCACAGCCCGCTCTCCCCGAGCATCCACCACTCCTGTGAAGAGCACCTGTGGAAGGGTTGACCTGAGGTGGTTACGGCAACCCATGCCATCAGCACCCATCTCTACAATCCTCTAGGTCTCCTTGCATCCTCCCCTCATCTCTGTCTCCCACAAAGTCCCATGCCTTTGTCTCTTACTTTGGGGGCTGTTGATTCTTGGTTAAGTTTGGTCCGTCGGAGGCTGCGGCTTGGTATTCTGTTGGGCTCCTCCTCTGCCTGGTCTCTCTTTCTCTTGCCTGGTTTTGGAGTCACGACATCCTGAGATTGAGAAAAATCTTGGTGGGAGTTTCAGAGCCCTGAAGTCATTTTTCCCAGCTTTGTGGTCCCAACCCTCTCCTCACCTCTTCCTTCCCTGGCTTCTCTGCAGTATCTTCTTCCTCTTCCTTGATAATCACTGTCTTCTGGGAGACTTCCCCTCTTTGGGGCTGTTTTTGATGTGGTGGTGAATCCATGGTAGCTAAAGACCTCTTGCGGCTTTGAGAGGCCTTAGGCTGGAGCTCCGGGGTGAACCTAGATCTACCTGCTGGTTCCACCTTTTGGATCTGGGAGGCATGAATTGGTGTCTCAAGAAGCTGGGGAGAGGCAGGCTCAGGAATGGCTGTAAGGGATTCAGCTGCTCTCACTGCTCCCCATCTTTGGTTCCTTGAGGCCTGGGATTTAGGTTCCAAGGGTGCAGAGCAAGGCTTATGGTCAATGGGAGCTGCGAGGGAGCCAGGGTTCCCAGCGGCTCTCTGCCTCTTGATGCAACTGGGTTGAGTAATAGGCTCAGGGGAAATAGGCTGGTCTGTGGTGACAGGAGATTGGAATTCAGGGGTGGTAGGAACCGGCATAGCTCTTACTGTGGAAGACCTCAGTGTTTTGCTCTGACCACCCTGAGCTATGGCCTCAGGGGTGACGGACTGGTCTGTGGGGGTAAAAGGCTCAAGATCAGAGGCTGCTGGTTCAACTGGTTTGGGAGTCTTGACAGAGGACCTATTTGTCTTTCTCCTAGTGGCCCTAGATGTGAGCTTGGGGGTGACAGGCTGGTCTGTGGAGGTGGTAGGATGGGGCTCAGGGGCTGTGGGGACAACTGGCTCAGGGGTCTTGACAGAGGACCTATTTGTCCTGCACCTAGTGGCCCGAGATGTGGGCTCAGGGGTGACAAGCTGGTTTCTGGAGGTGGAAGGCTGAAGCTCAGGGGCTATAGGGACAATTGATTCAGGGGTCTTGACAGAGGACCTATTTGTCCTGCCCCTAGTGGCCCGAGATGTGGGCTCAGGGGTGACAGGTTGGTCTGTGGAGGTGGAAGGCTGGAGCGCAGGGGCTGCGGGCACAACTGTTTCAGGGGTCTTGACAGAGGACCGATTTTTTCTTCCCCTAGTGGTCCGAGATGTGGGCTCAGAGGTGACAGGCTGGTCTGTGGAGGCGGAAGCCTGTAGCTCAGGGGCTGTGGGGACAACTGTTTCAGGAGTCTTGACAGAGGATCTATCTGTTCTTCCCCTAGTAGCCTGAGACGTAGGCTCAGGGGTAACAGGCTGGTCTGTGGAGGTGGAAGGCTGGAGCTCAGGGGCTGTGGGGACAACTGTTTCAGGGGTCTTCACAGAGGACCTATTTGTCCTGCCCCTGGTGGCCTGAGATGTGGGCTCAGGAGTGACAGGTTGGTCTGTGGAAGTGGAAGGCTCGAGCTTAGGGGCTGTGGGGACAAGTGTTTCAGGGGTCTTGCCAGAGGATCTATTTTTTCTTCCCCTAGTAGCCCGAGATGTGGGCTCAGGGGTGACAGGCTGCTCTGTGGAGGTGGAAGGTGGGAGCTCAGGGGCTATAGGGACAGTTGATTCAGGGTTCTTCACAGAGGACATATTTGTCCTGCTCCTAGTGGTCCGAGATGTGGGCTTAGGGGTGACAGGTTGGTCTGTGGAGGTGGAAATCTGGAGCTCAGGGGCTGTGGGGACAACTGTTTCAGGGGTCTTGACAGAGGACATATTTGTCCTGCTCCTAGTGGTCCGAGATGTGGGCTTGGGGGTGACAGGTCGGTCTGTGGAGGTGGAAGGCCGGAGCTCAGGGGCTGTGGGCACAACTGGTTCAGGGGTCTTGACAGAGGATCTATTTTTTCTTCCCCTAGTAGCCTGATATGTGGGCTCAGAAGTGACAGGCTGGTCTGTGGAGGTGGAAGGCTGGAGCTCAGGGGCTGTGGGGACAACTGGTTCAGGGGTCTTGACAGAGGATCTATTTTTTCTTCCCCTAGTAGCCTGAGAGGTGGGTTCAGAGGTGACAGGTCGGTCGGTGGAGGTGGAAGGCTGGAGCTCAAGGGCTGTGGGCACAACTGTTTCAGGGGTCTTGACAGAGGATCTACTTTTTCTTCCCCTAGTAACCTGAGATGTGGGCTCAGAGGTGACAGGCTGGTCTGTGGAGGTGGAAGGCTGGAGCTCAGGGGCTGTGGGGACAACTGGTTCAGGGGTCTTGACAGAGGACCTATTTGTCCTGCTCCTAGTGGCCTGAGATGTGGGCTTGGGAGTGACTGGCTGGGCTGTGGAGGTGGAAGGGTGGGGCTCAGGGGCAGCAGAGGTAGCTGGAAAGGGTGTCATTCTGGAGGACTTCCGAGTTCTAATTTTAGGCTTTGGGTGGAAAGGCTCCAGCTCTGAGGACAAGGGAGCCTCTGGAGCTTCCTGACTCCCATCTTGCCTGGTCTTACGAACGGTTGGCTTGATAGAAGGTAAAAGGGGAGAAAGAAGGGGCGGAGGTGCAAGATGTTTCTGGCTCTGAGAGTTAAGGGGCTTTTGGGGTGGGGCTGGGGCTTCAGGTACTGTAGGAGGCAGACAAGCATCTGGAGATTCCTGATCGCCCTAGGGAGAAACAGAAGCAAGTGAGGGGGAGGAGGTGGAGAAAAGAGATAGAACTTGGATACTGTTCTTGATACTTGTTTATGGTTAGATAGGCTTACCAGATTTCCACCGGGCGTGGTGGCTCACGGCTATAATCCCAGCACTTTGGGAGGCCGAGGCGGGCGGATCACGAGGTCAGGAGTTCAAGACCAGCCTGGCCAACATAGTGAAACCCCGTCTCTACTAAAAATACAAAAAAAAAGGCCAGGCATGGTGGCTGATGCCTGTAATCCCAGCACTTTGGGAGGCCGAGGCGGGTGGATCACAAGGTCAGGAAACCGAGACCATCCTGGCTAACACGGTGAAACCCCGTCTCTACTAAAAAATACAAAAAATTAGCCGGGCGTGGTGGCGGGCGCCTGTAGTCCCAGCTACTTGGAAGGCTGAGGCAGGAGAATGGCGTGAACTCGGGAGGCGGAGCTTGCAGTGAGCCGAGATGGTGCCACTGCACTCCAGCCTGGGGGACAGAGCAAGACTCTGTCTAAAAAAAAAAAAAAAAAAAAAAAAATTAGCTAGGTGTGTTGGCAGGCGCCTAGTAGTCCCAGCTACCTGGGAGGCTGAGGGAGGAGAGTCGCTTGAACCCGGGAGGCAGAGGTTGCAGTGAGCCAAGATCGCGCCACTGCACTCCAGCCTGGGTGACAGAGTGAGACTGTCTCAAAAAAAACAAAAAAATACACAAAAATTAGCCGGGTGACATGCGCCTGTAGTCCCAGCTACTTGGGAGGCTGCGGCAGGAAAATTGTTTGAACCCAAGAGACGGAGGTTACAGTAAGCTGAGATCACGCCACTGCACACTCCAGCCTGGGTGACAGAGACAGACTCTGTCTCAAAAAAGAACAAAAACAAAAAATATGCTCACTGGATTTTCCTTTCTGTCTATGATCTCTCCTCCATTAGACTGGGATCTACCTGGGAAGCTACCTTTTTCCCACAGACCTGTCTCCATAATGCTACTATAGTGTTCTCCACACGTGGATGATGGTAAGGAAAAGGATGGCTGGGGCAAAGAAAGAAGAAACACGAAGGGTCTTTCTTTTGAGTCAGGTAGGAGATACAACTTAGGAAACAGATATGGAAAACAACGGGTGCCGAGGATAAAGGAATAGAAGCCAATCAAGGCGTGACAAAAATGGAAGAAAACTGAATAATGAGAAAGGAATAGATTAAAGTGAGGCTAGGTGAAAGAGCATTGGAGAAGATATAGAGATGACTTGTGGAATAGGAGGTAGAAAAAGTAGCTCTCACCCTGGAAACCTTCTCAGCAGCTCTGATCCTGGAAGCCTTCTCAGCAGGTGGCATCTTGCAATTCAGGAGGCCTAGACAGAAAGTAAACACAAAGGTGGCTGAGTTCCAAGCAGCTGGTTGCCCAGGGGTTGATTATCACGAGGCCTGTGTATCACCTTGGGTTCCCCTCTGCCTTCACTTACCTTTCTGATGCCTCCTGGGGCTCACTGGGGATCCCCTTCCACCTGACTGGCTCCCAGAAGGTACGGGGGCTGAGGTAGGTCCCGGAAGGTCCCCCGCCCCCACCCCAGGCTCTGGTGTTGGGCTGGAGGCCTGCCCTTTCTGGTCCTGGCTCCCTCCCTCTGGCTCCCCTCTCTGTGTATCTCTCTCCAGGATCACTTTGGGCACCTTCTCTTCTAACTCGGCTGGATCGCACTCTCTGTTTGCTACTGGTCTCTCTACTTCTCTCTCAAATGCTTTGCTTGGAAGGGTCTGCTTCTGTACTTGTTTCTCTTGTATTTCCTCAGATGTCTCAATTTCTACCTTCAAACTCTCCCTATCTCTTTCAGGACTTGCACTTTCCCCATTTTTGTCAGATTCTTGTCTCTGGGTGTCTCTAGCTAACAACTGTTTTTGTTCTCTGTCCTGTTTCCCCTTGGTTAATTCTTCCTCTCCTGTCACATCTGTCTGTCTTTCTGGTAGCAGTTTCTCAGTTTCTCTCTCCAATGGCCCTCTCTCAGGGCCCACCCTCTCTGCTGTTTCTTTTGGTATACCCATGACTTTATCCACAGTCTGCCTCCCTCTGCCTTGAATCCCCATTGGCTCTGTGTGAACTGGGCTCTCTGGATGTTGGTCTCCTGGTATTGCCCTAGGTGGAGACAGGCAAGGTCCATAGGCCTCAAGGTGCGTGTCAAAAGGCTGGGTCTCAGAGTCCTCAGACTCTCTCAGACAGAATGGCTGTGTAGCCAGGACCTCCCATGGTTCATCTAGGGTACCTGGAAGGGGAGGAAGGAAGAGAGAGAGAGGGAGAGGGAGAGAAAAGAGGGAGAGGAAGAGGGAAAGGGAAGTACAGGTTGACATAATAAATATGATGAGAAAGGATTTAGATAAACTCATGAATAATAAATCTGAACAGGTTATTAAAGGTAAGCTGGGAATAAGGGTGGTAGTTATAACATTTAACGTTTGTCTCAAAAAGGTCATAGCCTTAGGCGGGCATGGTGGCTCAGACATGTAATCCCAGGACTTTGGGAGGCCAAGACATGAGGATTGCTTGAGGCCAGGAGTTTGAGACTAGCCTGGACAACATGGCAAAACCCCATCTCTACAAAAAATACAAAAAAATTAGGTGTGGGGACGGGGACCTGTAGTCCTGTAGTCTCAGCTACCCGGGAGGCTGAGGTAGGAGAACTACTTGAACCCCAAAGGTCAAGACTGTAGTGAGCTGTGATCATACCACTGCACTTCAGCCTGAGTGACAGAGACTCTGTCTCAAAAAAAAAAAAAAAAAAAAACCCAAGAGAAAAAGAAAAACATCATAGCCTAATATGAGTTCCCTGAATAGTCTCTCATCATACCACTGCATTCCAGCCTGAGTGACAGAGACCCTGTCTCAAAAAAAGAAAGAAAGAAAGAAAGAAAGAAAAACATCATAGCCTAATAAGAGAGTTCCCTGAATAGTCTCTCTCTCTCAAGACAGTTTCACTCTGTCACCCAGGCTGGAGTGCAGTGGCATGATGTTGGCTCACTGCAACTCCCAACTGCTGGGCTCAGGAGATCCTCCCACCTCAGCCTCCCAAGTAGCTGGGACTACGGCATGTGCCAAAGTGCCCGGCTAATTTTTTGTATTTGTTGTAGAGATGGGGTTTGGTCTTGAACTCTTAGACTCAAGTGATCCACCCACATTGGTCTCCCAAAGTGCTGGGATTACAGGTGTGAGCCACCATGCTTGGCTGGAATTTCCTTCTTTTTAAAGGCTGAATAGTATTCCACTGTGTATATATACCACATTTTCTTTTTTCTTCATTGACACATAATAATTGTACATATTTATGGGGTACCTGTGCTATTTTGACTCATGCATACAATGTACAATGATAAAACCAAGATAATTGGGATATCCACTATCTCAAACATTTATCATTTCTTTGTCTTGGAAACATATCAAATCTCTTCTAGCTATTTTGAAATACACAATAAATTATTAACTATAGTAACACTACTGTGGAACTGAACACTAGAACTTATTCATTCAATCTGACTGGATTTTTGTATTCATTAACCAACCTCTTTATGCATTCTGTCCCTCTACCCTTCCTAGCCTTTGGTAACCACCATTCTACTCTCTACTTCCATGAGATCCATGTTTTTAGCTCCCACATGAGTGAGCATACAATATTTGCCTTTCTGTGCTGACTTATTTCACTTAACATAATGTCCTCAGGGTTCATCCATGTTGCTGCAGATGACAGGATTTCATTCTCTTCTGTTGCTGAATACTGTTCCACTGTGTATATATACACATTTTCTTTTTTTTTTAGATTGAGTCTTGCTCTGTCACCCAGTTTGGAGTGCAGTGGCATGACCTCAGCTCACTGCAACCTCTGCGTCTTAGGCAGCAATCCTCCCATCTTAGCCTCCCGAGTAGCTAAGACTACAGGTGCATGCCACCATGCCCAGCTAAATTTTGTATTTTGAGCCACTGCACCCAGCCTATATACACATTTTCTTTTTTTTTATTATTAGAGATGAAGTCTCACTCTGTTGCCCATGTTGGAGTGCAGTGGTGTGACCTTGGCTCACTGCAACCTCTGCCTCCGGGGTTCAAATGAGTCTCCTGCTTCAGTCTCCCGAGTAGCTGGGACTACAGGCACCTGCCACCATGCCCAGCTAATTTTTGTATTTTTAGTAGAGACAGGGTTTCACCATGTTGGCCAGGCTGGTCTCAAACTCCTGACCTCATGTGATCCACCCACTTCGGCTTCCCAAAGTGCTGGGATTACAGGCATGAGGCACTGTGCCCGGCCTACATTTTCTTTTCTTTCGTTTTTTTGAGACAGAGTTTCACTCTTGTTGCCCAGGCCAGAGTGCGATGGCACAATCTCAGCTCACTGCAACCTCTGCCTCCTGGGTTCAAGGGATTCTCCTGACTCAGTCTCCTGAGTAGCTGGGATTACAGGCATGCACCACCACACCCGGCTAATTTTGTATTTTTAGTAGAGACGGGGTTTCTCCATGTTGGTCAGGCTGGTCTCAAGCTCCCGATCTCAGGTGATCTGCCTGCCTTGGCCTCCCAAAGTGTTGGGATTAGAGGTGTGAGCCACTGTGCCCGACCCCGGCCTACATTTTCTTTATCCATTCATCTGTTGATGGACATTTAGTTTGATTTCATATCTGCCTATTGTGAACAGTGCTGCAATAGTGTGTGTGTGTTTTTTTTAAGAGACATTGGGGGTGGGGGTTGAGGGATGGGCTATTGCCCAGACTGGGCTCAACTGATCTTCCCATCCTGGCCTCCCATGTAACTGGGACTACAGGTGCTCACTACTATGCTGGGCTAATTTTTTCATTTTTGTGGAGACCAGGTCTCTCTCTGTTGCCCAGGCCAGTCCCTAAATATTTTCAACCTGCAGCTGGTTGAATTCACGGACGCAAACTCGCATACACAGAGGGCTCACTGTAATCAGAGTATGAAAGAAACATGTAGGAAGGCAAATCAAGAAAGAACGCAGGCCGGGCGCAGTGGCTTACGCCTGCAATTCCAGCATTTTGGGAGGCCGAGGCAGGCGGATCACTTGAGGTCGGGAGTTTGTGACCAGCCTGGCCAACATGGTGAAACCCTGTCTCTACTAAACATACAAAAAATTAGCCAGGCATGGTCATGGACAGCTGTAATCCCAGCTACCTGGGAAGCTGAAGGAAGAGAAACCGCCTGGGAGGCGGAGGTTACAGTGAGCCGAGACTGCACCACTGTAATCCAGCCTGAGTGACAGAGGAAAAAAAAGAGAATGCAGAATTGGGGACACAGAGGAGGGAAGAGTTTCTTATACCTGTTGTCTGGAAGCTGCAATGGGAAGGGCCAAGCTCTTGGGGTGGAGTCAACATGAAGGCCTGGGTAGGTTCATCCTCCATGCTCTGGACTGCTGTACAGGAAAAGATGGCCTAAGTTCATCTCCTCCATACTACTGTAGGGTTCCATTCCTGGTCTCCTACCCTACCCATACTAGCCTTTACCCTTCAAGGACCACCAGTCTAATCTCCCAGCTCCCACTGGTACAGGATTCAAATAACACAGAAGTCCTCACCTTCCAGGCCCTGATTCTCCAGAAAGCACTGGGTAGCTTGTAGGTCCAGATCTTCAGAATCTGGTCGGGGAGGAATATAAGACAGTTTAAAACAAAAATCATACCTGACACTAAACTCCTTAAATAATCTCTACCTTTCTCTCCCCAACCCCAGCTGTTAGAACCCTGGTTGATTTCAGAGGTCAAGGAAGGAAGGCCAGCACTTACCACCATAGTTGTCTTCAGAGTCCTTGGTCCCACCCACATGTTGTTCTCTCTCCCTTCCTGTGGGGACCTGGGCTCCCTCTCTCTGTGGCTGGGTGGATTCCCCTAGAGTGTCTGTGTCCACCACCAGATCTGTGAGGTTCTCTCTTGAGATAGGGAGGTCCTGCTCCACTTGTGCCACAGGTGGCCCACCCTGGGCCCCCACCTCATGAGCTCTCTCCTGCTTAAGAACAGCTGCAGCCCACTCTGCCCCAGCATCCCCTTCTGCTGGAAGCTGGCTCTTTCTTACATCTGCAACTACTGAGGCTGTTAGGGAGGTGCCCTCCTCTGCATCTGTTTCACAGTCCCCATGCAGAGGCCAGGCTTCCTCTAGAGATACCACAAGCAGCTTTGCTGGTCCCCCAACTGCTTTCACATCTGTTTGATTTGTCCCCTCCACAGACACCTGATGCTTCTTTATATGTATAATGGCTGACCCTGGCGGGACTTCCTTCTCCACTTGTGTGTTGATGTCCACTGTGGTGGAGGCTTGGCTTCTCTCCAGGTGGATCCCAGGTGAGCTCTTATCTGCTTCCACACTGTCATCACTGTCCCCAAAAGGAGGTTGGTCCTTTTCTGAATGTGCTCTAACAAGGGCTCTAATCTTTGTGTGATCCTTGAGGACAGCTTCTCTATTTTCCACTGGGAGCTCTTCCTCCTCCACGTCTGTGTCACTGTCTCTCTCAGTGGTGGTTTGGCTTCGCTGCAGAAGGACCACACGTTGGGGCATGTCCTCTTCTGCATCTCTGTTCCATATAGCAGGCTGGCTCTCTTTCAGATGTGCCAAAGTCAGCGCTGCTGAGACTTCTTCCTCGTCATCTGTATCGCTGTTGATAACCATGGAAGCTTGGCTTTTCTCCAGAGGGACAGCCTGTGGGGCCTTGCCTTCTTCCACATCTGTATCACTACCAGCCTGGCTCTCCTGCAGATGGGCCAGGCCTGGTGCTCCAGGACCCCTTGTACCTACTCCATGGAAGATCTTCCTCTTCTTCATAGGAATGACAACTGGGGTTGCTGGGATCCTCTCTTCTTCCGCATCAGTGTCGCTGTCGATGAAGCCAAAAGGCTGAGCCCTTTCCAAATGGACCTCAGCTGGCCTTCCAGGAGGCCTGCTGTCATCATCCACATCTGTGTCACTGTCCTCTCCAGGAGGTTGGCTCCTCTCCAGAATCACCCCAGCTGGAACCACCCCATTCCCTGCACCCCTCTTGACTTTTGTATCATTGTCCCTCTCCTTCACTAAAGGCTGATCCTTTTCAAGCTGGATTTCAGTTACAACTTCAGCTTCAGACTGCTTTGCCTCTACAGTGGCACCTCTTCTGGCAGCTGAGGAGGCCTCCTCTGTGGCTGGTTGCTGACCTTCTTCCACATCTGTGTCACTGTTCAAATTGAAGGCAAAAGGCGGCCCAAGGCCGCCCAGGACCGGGGAATGCCCCTCTTCATCACTGTGAAGGGAAGAAAAGAGAGTCTATAGAATTTATTTCCCTGGAAGGGATACCCCAACTCAACTGTGAGCTCCTTGAGGGGAGACACAAGGTAGCATATTTCTTCTTCTGTTTCCAATTTGTTTTCCACTTGGCACATCAGATGTGCTCCATAAAAATTCAGCTGAGTGAATGAATATGTATGGTTCCCCAGCCCCAACTCTCATGATAATCATCTCTTTTAGAGATTGATCCTCCAGCCCCTGGTTCTTCCTCATTTTGAAGACTCAGGTGTCTGACTCTTTGGCACTCACCTCTCTGGAACTATCACAGAGGAAGATGTGGTCCTTGATTTTTTTACCATACGCCTTTCAGAAAGAAAATCTGTCAAGAACAGAAAGGAATGAGTTGACAATTGTACACTCATTATTCCTGTCTCCTCATTCTCCCTGCCAATATACAAACTTACCTACTTCCTCCTCCGAGTCCTCAGCCAACAGAAGCCTCTGGGGTTGAGTTTCTCCCTGTACTCTGGGTGTCTCTTCTACTGTCAGAGGGCCCCGGGAGACAAAGGGCAGAGAGACATCCAGGCGATGGTACTGGCAGAGCAAGTCAGCAAAGAGAATCAATTCCTGGTCCCTCAGACGGTGACTCACCCCAGGGCTCAAAACCTTAGGAGGTCTCAGGATTTGAGTACCATTAAGGCTCCCACAGTCTCGGAGGATAGGTGCCTTGTCCCAGGCTAAGATTTCAATCTCTGCATGTTGTTTGGAGATAGATGGAAAGGGCAGGGCCACAGAGCAGTCAGGCATTCGGCCTACCACATTCTTCCCGAGGTGTAGTGGGAAATCTAAGAATTAGAGAGGTAGATAAGCTCCAAGATCAGAGTCCTGGCCTGTCATTAGGAAAAAGTGCCTATTAGGTACTCTACTACTCACTCAAGGCCTCCATATGCATTAGAAAAATAAAAGGCCCTAGGACATCTAGGCACTGAAAGAGTATATGCGATACCCCATCCATCCACAATGGATGTTTTTTTACTGTTATAAAATACACATAACACAAAATGTATCACCTTAATAATTTTAAGTGTATAGTTCAGTGGCATTAAGTGCATTCACACTGTTGTGCAATCATCACTACCATCCATCTCCAGAGCACACAATTGGATTTTATTTGATTTTTTTTTTTTTTTTGAGACAGGGTCTCATTCTGTCACCCAGGCTAGAATGCAGTGTCATGATCATAGATCAGTGCAATCTTGAACTCTTGGGTTCAAGTGATCATCTGGCTCAGCCTCCCAAGTAGGTGGGACTGCAGATGTGAAATGAACCACCACACCTGGCTAATTTTTAAATTTTTCGTAGAGACAGGGTTTTGCTATGCTACCCAGGCTGGTCTCTAACTCCTAGTCTCAAGTGATCCTTCTGCCTTGGCCTCTCAAAGCACGGGAATTACAGGTGTGAGTCACTGCACCCAGCTTCATTTCAATCTCTTAATTTTCTTTTATCAAAGTAAAATCACTTCCAGTGAGTCCAGGGTAGTAGTCTGCAACTATCAACTCAATCGGCCCCATCTCTTCCATTCATGAAAAAAAAAAATTCACATCTCATTGAAACATACATAAGCTTCTTGCAACCCTCCAAATACCTTACCACAAAAATAAAAGATCTATATCAATACTTGAACATCCAATACCCTCTGACCTTTTTCTGGTCCATGGGCACCACTAAAGATATGTAGCCGCCCTACTGGCTCCACGTTACACCTCAAGGATTCACTGGATTGCTCTGTCTCCTCCTCTTCTTCAACATCCCAGTCAATAGCCTGGGTGTCCTCCATGATCTGGGAAGGATACACATTATCAATTATCCTCATTATTGGTTCACACAAACAGCATCAGAGTTATCAGACTGAAAACTAGGGGGTAAACTGGATCATTATGAACGTTGATGCTTCTCTTTCCACCAATCTTTCTGTTGTTAACCTTCTGAAGCACTTAAAACATTTTTTTCTTTTTTGTGATGGAGTCTCGTTCTGCTCCCCAGGCTGGCATGCAGTGGTAAGATCTTGGGCCCACGGCAACCTCTGCCTCCCGGGTTTCAAGCAATTCTCTCACCTCAGCCTCCCAAGTAGCTGAGATTACAGGCACCTGCCACCATGCCTGGCTAATTTTTGTATTTTTAGAAGAGATGGGGTTTTGCCATATTGGCCAGGGTGGACTCGAACTCTTGACCTTGGGTGATCCGCCCACCTTGGCCTCCCAAAGTGCTGGGATTACAGGCGTGAGCCACTGCGCCCCGTTGTTTTTCTTTCTTTTTTAGCCCATGCTTTTTATACTTTTACCAGACCACCTCAGTTTGATCAGATGCAACTGCAAAAAATGATAATAAAAGATGACATATATAGAAGCTTCCTATGTGTCAAGCACTGTTCTAATTACTTTATATCGACTCTGACTCATTTAATCTTCACAAGAACCTTGTAAAGTAGTATTACTATCTTCCATTTCTTCAGATAAAGAAACTGCAACATAGCTGGGTTAAGATTTTCAGATCTCCTTGAAACATACATAAGCATATATAAGGTTAAGACTTGCCCCAAATCACTCAGATGTCTCTCCTCTAAAATCTTGATGGTTTTTCGTGCACACAGAATAAAATCTAAACTCCTTAGCGAGACCCTCCATGATCTGAACTTCACATCTTGTAACGCCTACCCCTCGCCCGCAAAAGCCTATGGTTCAGCCAGACATTTTCCCCAGTCTTCGAACACACTGTTCTTGTCTTCCCACATCTTCATGCCTTAGCCCAATTCCTTGGCTTTTTCCCACCTAGTTTTCTGGTCCAACTTCTACCATCCTTTAAGATTCAGTTCAAATGTCACTTTCTTTCTTTTTTTTTTTTTTTGAGATGGAATCTCGCTCTGTCGTCCAGGCTGGACTGCAGTGGTGCTATCTTGGCTCACTGCAACCTCTGCCTCCAGGCTTCAAGCGATTCTCCTGCCTCAGCCTCCCGAGCAGCTGGGATTACAGGCGCCCGGCATCACGCCTGGCTAATTTTTGTATTTTTAGTAGAGACGGGGTTTCACCACGGTCTCGAGCTCCTGACCTCAGGTGATCCGCCCACCTTGGCCACCCAAAGTGTTGGGATTACAGCAGTGAGCAACCGCGCCCGGCCTCAAATGTCACTTTCTCAGCAAACCCTTTCCTGGCGTGTTCCCTGCCTTCTCGTGTTCCTGGTGTATCCTGCCTGTTCCACAGTGGTCAATGGATTTGTGCTTACTCTAAGATCTCTCGCTATATTGTAACCATTACTTTCCATTTCTGCCTTCACACTCACCCACCTCCAGGACTGGATTAGGGGAACCGTGTCTTTCCCCTAGGGTCCATCATATTCATTCAATGGTTATGGTATACCTGTTTGAAGTATTTGGTATACATCTGTGAACCAAACATGAAATCGACCCTGCCCTCGGGAAGGCTCATCACCGAGCCTACTGATGAAGGAACAAATGAGATGGAAAGAAAATAGCATAAATGGAATTCACCTGAAAATATGCCACTCTAGAGGGAAACTGTTGACAGGTAGGGAAAGTAGGATGCCCCATGGATAAAGTGTCAACTCCGTCTTTATGACAGGCCAACTCAGCGGGTGCCCACCACGCTTGGCTCCAATTCAAAGAGCCACCATCTTTGGTCCCCACCTCAGTGGGTTCCCTTGTGGCCCGACGTCTCCCTGTGTCTTCATACCTAAACTCGGAGCGGGGCGCCAGGTAAGGATGAGTATTACAGTCCGAGAAGCGAACTTCCAAGTCACCTCCGCCCAGTCGCACCCAAGGTACGCCCCTCCCGCCTTCTGGGGGAACCAAGATGGCTCCCGGGGAGCCGTGGGCCAGGCCCCTAGAACTCACCTACTTTAAGTCCCCGCGCGCGCCACCAGTAACGGTCGCGACCCGGGTGGAGCGACTGCGTGTGCCGAAAAAGAGCTTATTTGCTGATTGGCTTCTGCCGCTGTCTTTCACAACCGCAGCCAGTCGAGCGGAGGCACACCCAAAGCCCCGCCCCCTTAGAGTTCAAATAGGTGGTGTCTCCCAGGCTGCTGAGATCAGTTAATGAGACGGTAATTGAAGGCCGCCGTGCGCCAACAGAATAATGCACGTCGATTGGGCAGCTCCAAGGGACAACCCACTACCGCTTGCCCGCCCACCACCCACTTCCCGCGCAGTTCCAAACCGCGACCAGAGAGTCTGGCGCCAGCTGCCGGCAACGGATAGAGGGGCTGTGTCATAGACGTCCGACGTGTCTGGTAAGGCCAGAGCGCCTTTCCTCGGTCCTCCTAGACATGGTGTCCGCTGACTCATGAGAAATGAAAGTGGGTTGCGCGTTGCAGTCGTGGCTGGAGGCTGCAGTTTGGAGAACAGCCCGTAGGCGTGGCAGTTCACTCCTGTTGCATTGGAATTTCATTTCCTTTTGATTTGGTTTGTAGTAGAAGTAATATCTTTCTTCCTGGGAATACGTCTCTGACGGACATTTTGAGGTCATTTTCTTAAATCCAAGATCCTAAAGATCTGTAGTCGAACAGAGAAAACTGGTTTGCTCTCTGTCTTAAAGGCTGTCCCCACCTTTCGAGGGGCGAGGGAAGGATCATAAAATCATTTATTTTTATTTTTTAATTAACTAATTTATCTATTTTTTGAGATGGAGTTTTGCTCTTGTTGCCCAGGCTGGAGTGCAATGGCGCGATCTCGACTCACCGCAACCTCTGCCTCCCAGGTTCAAGCGATTCTCCTGCCTCAACCTCCCAAGTAGCTGGGATTACAGGCATGCGCCACCACGCCCAGCTTATTTTTGTATTTTTAGTAGAGACGTGGTTTCTCCATGTTGGTCAGGCTGGTCTCGAACTTCTGACCTCAGGTGATCCGCCCGCCTCGGCCTCTCAAAGTGGTGGGATTACAGGCGTAAACCACCGCATGCGGCCATCTATATTTTATTTTTTGAGACGGACTTTCGCTCTTGTTGCCTAGGCTGGAGTGCAATGGCGCGATCTCGACTCACCGCAACCTCCGCCTTCTGGGTTCAAGCAATTCTCCTGTCTCAGCCTCCCGAGTAGCTGGGATTACAGGCATGCGCTACCACGCCCGGCTAATTTTGTATTTTTAGTAGAGACGGGGTTTCTCCATGTTGGTCAGTCTGGTCTCAAACTCCGGACCTCAGGTGATTCTCCCGCCTGGGCCTCCCAATGTGCTGGGATTACAGGCGTAAGCCACTGCGCCCGGCCTATTTTATCTCACAATAAGACATGAAGAAAATGGTAACTATAACACTTGCATAATTCATAAAGTCCTTTCTGTTGGTTATCTCAATTCTGTGCACAACAGTCAAATAAGCAGATTTTACAAACGAGGAGCTGGAGCCCTGCAAAGTTAAAGGACTTTCCTAGGATCCTACAGCTAATATAGAGACAAATTGAAACAAGTTATCTGATTGTGTATTTTGAGTTATTTCTACTCCCACAAAATGACTGTGTTCATTTCCCTAAAACGTAAAGCATTATATTTTAAGTGGGTAGAGAGGGCTTACACAAGTTGATGTTCCCTCATTTAGAAGGCAACTTAGAAATACATTGATCTGCCCAGCGCGGTGGCTCACGCCTGTAATCCCAGCACTTTGGGAGGCAAAGGCGGGCGAATCACGAGGTGAGGATATCGAGACCATCCTGGCTAACACAGTGAAACCCTGTCTCTACTAAAAATACAAAAAAAAAAAAAAGAAATACATTGATCTGTGTGATCGAATGTGAATTAACAATGACGTTGACTTGATACTACATTTCTGAGTGGTTACCACATTTTATTGATTGTATGCTTCTCACCAGACTGCAACATCCTGGAGGACAGGGAGCTAATTCTTAATCATTTTGTAACCATAGCTCCTAATTTGGTGGATACATAGTAACTATCAAATAAGTGAATAATAAATCTATGGGAAGAAGCAGATGGACTCCGTCTTGAACCCACTCAATTTTTCCCCCATCAATTACCCCTCTCTCGTTTTTCAATACTGGGTCTCTTGCAGAGTTGCAGTGGCGGCCACCTGGTCAGTGAAATCAGCGAATTGAAAAACCACTGACTTCATTAACATGTCTAAAGAGGCAGGCTGAAAAAACTGAAAATCTATCAGGCATCTCATTCCATAGTTCCCTGTTTGACAAGAAGACCAAGGTGTCTTCAAAGTCTGCCCTAAGGTCCAGATCTCCTACCCACGTAGGAGACTTCTAGTTTCACAAATCCCCGATGTCGGTTTCTCTAAACTATTTTATTCTTTGAACATACTCTCCAGACAACATCGCTATCCTGAAAAGCCCTTGCTGCAATTTTGTTTCTCTTTCAAAACAATGGCTCGAAAATTTCCAAGGAAATAGCAAGAGGGCGATTCCCTTCTTGAAGTATTTGAGGGAGCAGAAGCTTACTGAAGTTCATGCCTTGGGTCACCAAAGGCCAGGGGAGGCAGAGCACGGTGCCAGACTTCTCCCCATTTTTCGCTGAACTAAGCAATCCTTTCTCCCCTAGAGGTACTGCAGCTGGGAGCTTTCAGGGCGTGTCTTCCCCACCACCCAACTTCTGGAACCCCAGACTTCTCAATTCCTGTACCCCCAAGAACTGCTCACTTTTTGTACAAAAACCTCAGGCATAGAGGAAAGGAATCTTGCGCAAGGTCGTTTTTCATTTACAAAACAAAAACCCCATGAAAACCAAACCGGTACCCACCCATTCGTCACTTCATTTTGCAGCATGGACAACAATAGGGGACTACAACTCCCAAAGAGGACTGCGCTCGTCCACTGGCTCAGAGGCCAATGGACGCCTGGTACATGACCGGCATCGACTAATCAGGGCCAGGCTCGATGAGGCTTTGTCTCCCTACCGCGCGCGGGGCCGATTCTCCCGCCTCCCAGCCCCGGCGCACGCGCGCCCCGCCCAGCCTGCTTTCCCTCCGCGCCCTCCCCTCTCCTTTCTCCCTCTCAGAACCTTCCTGCCGTCGCGTTTGCACCTCGCTGCTCCAGCCTCTGGGGCGCATTCCAACCTTCCAGCCTGCGACCTGCGGAGAAAAAAAATTACTTATTTTCTTGCCCCATACATACCTTGAGGCGAGCAAAAAAATTAAATTTTAACCATGAGGGAAATCGTGCACATCCAGGCTGGTCAGTGTGGCAACCAGATCGGTGCCAAGGTAAGAATTTTACACCTCTTTTATTTCTTTTTACAAGGAAAAATCCAGGTAAGTTATGAAAAAATGGTTGTGGGGCATTTGCACCCGCTATCCTTAATCAAGATTTGCCCCTCTCAAGTTTGTTACATTTATATATATAACAATTGTAGCTAGCATTTGCCTTTGGAAAGCTGGGAATCATTTTTCTTGGCAGGCACATTTTGGAGAAACTAGTAAAAGGGCTCTTCGGGTTTGGGGGCGGGAAGACCGAGGACTTATAAGATGTTACTTAAAAGGGCTTCTAACGGTCCGAGAACCGGGCAGGGAGAGAGATGCGGAAACGGTCGCAGACAAAGCGGGGCGAGGTTTTGCCCATGTGCATCCCGCCCAACCCCCCTGCGGGGTACTTAGGGCCAAACCGGAGCGGGAAGGGGTGAGGCCATCGGGCGGCTGCAGAGAGCTCCAGCGCAAGGGTGGGGGGCGATGCGCCAGGGTGGGCTGCGCTGGGCGCTACCTTTCACAAAAGACCAGGGACCCCAACGCGCCCGCGACCCCAGAGGGCCGGTCCTGTATTTGTTCCTGGGTGGAAGGAGAATAAGAACGGGATTAATTTTACTTGCTTTCATGGCCCCTAAGAGAGACTTTTTTAGGGCGTGAACAGATATGTCGAGAAAATGGGGGTGTGTGGTTTTCTTTAATGAGTCCCTCAGGACTTAATGGGAGAGAAAGAATCCTTTAAATCAAGGGGTAGAAATGTAGCGAAGGAATAAAAATTCCGAGGCCAAGGGGGATTTTTTTTTTTTGCGCGCGGTTACAGTGTAGCGGGGGAGGGGCGGGAGGAAGTGCGGCTGCTACGTTGTAGCAGAAGGGCGGGGCCCTGCGGGGCGGGGCCGGGGCGCCGTGGGCGCGCGGGGACAATGCGGCGTTGCCCGCCGGCAGGGGCGCGCTACCTTGGGCCCCGCCCCTCGCGCGCGGAATTTTTGTCCCTGGCCCCGCCCACGCGCGAAGTCTTTTGTCGGCGGCTCGACCTGCGCGTGCGCCGCAGTCACGTGGAGGGCGGGGGGGGTGGTCGACTGCGGCGGCAGCTCTTTCCTCAGACCCCCAGCCTTTTGTGCGCCGCGCGGTGGGGCGGTGCCCAGCTTGGGGGAAGGAGAGCGGCGCTTATCGAAGTGTGGTCGACCTCCATCCGCCCACCGAGCACTTGGGACCCGCTGCACATATCCAGAGCAGGGAAAGCTGTGGCTTTCTCGGGGGAGCGAGTGTCTAGGGGAAGGGTGTGGCAGGCCCACGGGATGCCATGCCCTAGAACAACGGCCTGAGCGCTTGTGGAATTAAAATGGGAGATGTGGGGCCGAGGTGGGCGAATTGGGATCCCTCCAGGTCAGGGGTTCGAGACCATCCTGGGCAACAAAGCGAGACCCTCCCCCATGCCACGTTTCTACAAAAAATAAAAGTAAAAAATTAGCTGGGCGTGGTGGCGCGCGTCTGTGGTCCCAGCTACTCGAGAGGCTGAGATGGGAGGATCGGTTGAGCCTGGGAGTTCCACGCTGTAGTCATCCGTGATTGCACCACTGCACTGCAGGCTGGGCAACAGGAAGACCCTGTCTTAAAAATTAGAAGAAGCTGGGCGCGGTGGCTCACCCTTGTAATCCCAGCACTTTGGGAGGCCAAGGTGGGCGGATCACGAGGTCAAGAGATCTAGACCATCCTGGCCAACATGGTGAAACCCGTCTCTACTAAAAATACAAAAAGTAGCTGGGCGTGTTGGTGCGCGCCTATAGTCCCAGCTACTCCGGGGGCTGAGGCAGGAGAATCGCTTGAACCCGGGAAGCAGAGGTTGCAGTGAGCCGAGATAGCGCCACTGCACTCCAGCCTGGTGACAGAGCGAGACTCCGTCTCAAAAAAAATTAAGAAAAAGATGAAATAAAATGGTAGTTGGGGACATAGTTGGCTGGGACTTGACCTGTTGTGGTCTCGTTGCTCCCCCTCGGCAGTTCTGGGAGGTGATCAGTGATGAACATGGCATCGACCCCACCGGCACCTACCACGGGGACAGCGACCTGCAGCTGGACCGCATCTCTGTGTACTACAATGAAGCCACAGGTAAGGGCAGGAGCCCGGGCAGCTCAGGTTCCCTTCCCTGTCTCCCACTTATCTGGGATCTCTTTCCATTTCTGGGCACGCCTTATCCCCTTTGGGTGAATCTGTCATTTTGTCCCTTTCGTGAACCACCGTCGGGGCCAAAGACGTCTGCTGCCACCTGGTGGCGGGACCTGGAATGACAAGTCTCTGATCCCTGCTGTCTCCCATTTCCAGTATATCTATAAACCTTCCCTTCTGCCAGATTTCACAGCTCTTAACTTTATTCTCTGTAGGTGGCAAATATGTTCCTCGTGCCATCCTGGTGGATCTAGAACCTGGGACCATGGACTCTGTTCGCTCAGGTCCTTTTGGCCAGATCTTTAGACCAGACAACTTTGTATTTGGTGAGTTATATAGATGATATTAGCAGATGATATACCATCGTGTTCAACTTATTTGGGTGCAAGGACACAGCAAAAGTTAGGAGATGATTGTTGTATTGGAGTGCTAATACAGAAATGTGTTCTGAAATCTAACGGAGGGTAGAGGTAGTGCCTACTATTGCTGGTAAATTATGGGGCAGTAGGGGGAGAATATATCACAGTGAAGGAGAAAGAAGATACATCCGAGGGAATTATTTGAAAAGTTGAAAGATGGAAACATCATGTATCTTCCATACCCTGTTAATTGAGCTTTTCTCCTGACTGCATTCCAGGTCAGTCTGGGGCAGGTAACAACTGGGCCAAAGGCCACTACACAGAGGGCGCCGAGCTGGTTGATTCTGTCCTGGATGTGGTACGGAAGGAGGCAGAGAGCTGTGACTGCCTGCAGGGCTTCCAGCTGACCCACTCACTGGGCGGGGGCACAGGCTCTGGAATGGGCACTCTCCTTATCAGCAAGATCCGAGAAGAATACCCTGATCGCATCATGAATACCTTCAGTGTGGTGCCTTCACCCAAAGTGTCTGACACCGTGGTCGAGCCCTACAATGCCACCCTCTCCGTCCATCAGTTGGTAGAGAATACTGATGAGACCTATTGCATTGACAACGAGGCCCTCTATGATATCTGCTTCCGCACTCTGAAGCTGACCACACCAACCTACGGGGATCTGAACCACCTTGTCTCAGCCACCATGAGTGGTGTCACCACCTGCCTCCGTTTCCCTGGCCAGCTCAATGCTGACCTCCGCAAGTTGGCAGTCAACATGGTCCCCTTCCCACGTCTCCATTTCTTTATGCCTGGCTTTGCCCCTCTCACCAGCCGTGGAAGCCAGCAGTATCGAGCTCTCACAGTGCCGGAACTCACCCAGCAGGTCTTCGATGCCAAGAACATGATGGCTGCCTGTGACCCCCGCCACGGCCGATACCTCACCGTGGCTGCTGTCTTCCGTGGTCGGATGTCCATGAAGGAGGTCGATGAGCAGATGCTTAACGTGCAGAACAAGAACAGCAGCTACTTTGTGGAATGGATCCCCAACAATGTCAAGACAGCCGTCTGTGACATCCCACCTCGTGGCCTCAAGATGGCAGTCACCTTCATTGGCAATAGCACAGCCATCCAGGAGCTCTTCAAGCGCATCTCGGAGCAGTTCACTGCCATGTTCCGCCGGAAGGCCTTCCTCCACTGGTACACAGGCGAGGGCATGGACGAGATGGAGTTCACCGAGGCTGAGAGCAACATGAACGACCTCGTCTCTGAGTATCAGCAGTACCAGGATGCCACCGCAGAAGAGGAGGAGGATTTCGGTGAGGAGGCCGAAGAGGAGGCCTAAGGCAGAGCCCCCATCACCTCAGGCTTCTCAGTTCCCTTAGCCGTCTTACTCAACTGCCCCTTTCCTCTCCCTCAGAATTTGTGTTTGCTGCCTCTATCTTGTTTTTTGTTTTTTCTTCTGGGGGGGGTCTAGAACAGTGCCTGGCACATAGTAGGCGCTCAATAAATACTTGTTTGTTGAATGTCTCCTCTCTCTTTCCACTCTGGGAAACCTAGGTTTCTGCCATTCTGGGTGACCCTGTATTTCTTTCTGGTGCCCATTCCATTTGTCCAGTTAATACTTCCTCTTAAAAATCTCCAAGAAGCTGGGTCTCCAGATCCCATTTAGAACCAACCAGGTGCTGAAAACACATGTAGATAATGGCCATCATCCTAAGCCCAAAGTAGAAAATGGTAGAAGGTAGTGGGTAGAAGTCACTATATAAGGAAGGGGATGGGATTTTCCATTCTAAAAGTTTTGGAGAGGGAAATCCAGGCTATTAAAGTCACTAAATTTCTAAGTATGTCCATTTCCCATCTCAGCTTCAAGGGAGGTGTCAGCAGTATTATCTCCACTTTCAATCTCCCTCCAAGCTCTACTCTGGAGGAGTCTGTCCCACTCTGTCAAGTGGAATCCTTCCCTTTCCAACTCTACCTCCCTCACTCAGCTCCTTTCCCCTGATCAGAGAAAGGGATCAAGGGGGTTGGGAGGGGGGAAAGAGACCAGCCTTGGTCCCTAAGCCTCCAGAAACGTCTTCTTAATCCCCACCTTTTCTTACTCCCAAAAAAGAATGAACACCCCTGACTCTGGAGTGGTGTATACTGCCACATCAGTGTTTGAGTCAGTCCCCAGAGGAGAGGGGAACCCTCCTCCATCTTTTTTGCAACATCTCATTTCTTCCTTTTGCTGTTGCTTCCCCCCTCACACACTTGGTTTTGTTCTATCCTACATTTGAGATTTCTATTTTATGTTGAACTTGCTGCTTTTTTTCATATTGAAAAGATGACATCGCCCCAAGAGCCAAAAATAAATGGGAATTGAAAAAAGCTGCGAGATGTGTGCTTATTTAGGGAAACACGGCTGGCTGATGGAGGCATGGGGCCTGAGTTCAGTTGCACTGCTCTCCTTAAATTGACACTTAATATTGAGTCCCTGTCCTACGGATTCAACCAACTGGATATTGGGAAAAGAGTTGTACTGGACATGTATAGACTTCTCATTATTCCCTAAACAATAATAGTATAAATTATTTACATAATATTTGCATTAGATTAGGTATTACAAGTAACGTAGAGATGATTTGAAGTACACAGGTTATATGCAAGTACTACATTTTATATGAGGGACTTGGGTGTCTGCCGATTTGGTATCTCAGGGAGGTACTGGTAAGGACACTGACTGCTTTATAGACCCTCACATCATTGTTTCTGGTACCCAAACTGCTCTGAGCACCAGTCAGTCTTTACTGTAGTCTCTGACAGCTCACTACAGCCTTGATGTCCTGGGCTCAAACAATCCATCTCATTCTCCCAAGCAGCTGGGACTGTAGGCATAAGCCAGGTGAGCCAGTGCACCAGGCCCACCAATGAGTCTTAACTGGGGAAGGCATAGGCTTAGATGCAGGATCCAGGGATGGAAAATGGAAGCTGAGAAGAATGACAAATCACGTGTAACTGGTTTCCAGACCAGCATCCACATCCTCTGGGAACTTGCAGAAATAAATGCAAGTTTTTCATCCCACCCAGATGTACTGAACCATAAATGGTTGAACTGGCCTTGGCCACCCAGCCCAGGATTCCTTTGGGTTATGTGTACCCATGGCCATTTCCTGTGATCCTGTGGGCTTAGTCAACCTATGACACCAAGATAACTAGTGAAGCCCTGGTATGGTGGCTCCCACTTGTAATCCCAGCACTCTGGGGGGCCGAGGCAGGAGGATGGCTTGAGCCCAGGAGTTCCACACCAGCCTGGGCAGCAGTGAACCATCTAACAAAAAAAAAAGCTGGGCATGGTGGTGCATGCCTGTAGTCCCAGCTGCTGGGGTAGAGGGGGGTGGTGGTTGTTGGGGGTAGGGGGGTGGGGATTGGATGGGAGGATTGCCTGAGCCTGGGAGGTAGAGGCTGCAATGAGCCCTGACCCTACCCCTGCACCCCAGCCTGGGTGACAGAGCAAGACCTTGTCTTTTTTTTTCTTTTTTCTTGAGATGGAGTCTTGCTATGTTGCCCAGGTTGGAGCACATTGGCGCGATCTTGGCTCGCTACAACCTCTGCCTCCCGGGTTCAAGGAATTCTGCCTCAGCTTCCCAAGTAGCTGGGATTACAGGCACCCACCATCACGCCGGGCTAATTTTTGTATTTTAGTAGAGATGGGGTTTCACCACGTTGGCCAGGACTGGTCTCAAACTCCTGACCTCAAGTGATCCACCCGTCTCAGCCTCCCAAAAAGTTCTGGGACTACAAGCATGAGCCACCGTGCCCGGCCCAAGCCCAAGACCTTGTCTTTAAAAAAAAAAAAGGATAACTAGGCGGGATTGCTACCTTATGGTCCCATTCTAAAACAATCTGTACCATCTACTACCTCATACTTTTAAGTTCACAATGCAAGTCTCAAAGCTACCCTGAAAACAATAATTCCTTTTGCCATGTTTTCAGGAATTCTAGGAACTAGTATTATTCCCAACATTCCTTCTATTTTAGCATGCTTTTCTGACTATAATACACTGTTGGGGGGAAAAATTAACTCTAAAACTCTTGACAGTATATAAGTAACTTGCTTTTCTCCCATTCTAGAAAGCCTATTGTATGCAAGAAAGCCTATTGTATGCAAGGGAAGAAGCTACATTCTAGCATTCATTTTCTTTCTAATAGAGCCAGGATCTTGCTTTGTCACCCAGGCTGGAATGCAGTGGTGTGATCATGGCTCACTACAGCCTTAGACTCCTGAGCTCAAGTGATCCTCCCACCTTAGCCTCCCAAGTAGCTAGGACTATAGGCAAGAGTCACCATACCTGAGTCTAGCATTCATTTTTTTTCTCTTTTTTTTTGAAACAGTCTCACTCTGTCACCTAGGCTAGAGTGCAGTGGTGCGATCTTGGCTCACTGCAACCTCTGCTTCCCAGGTTCAAGTAATTCTCCTGCCTCAGCCTCCCAAGTAGCTGGGACTACTACTTGGCATGTTTCACCCTGCCTGGCTAATTTTTGTATTTTTGGTAGAGACAAGGTTTCGTCATGTTGGCCAGGCTGGTCTTGAACTCCTGACCTCAGATGATCTGCCTGCCTTGGCCTCCCAAAGTGCTGGGATTACAGGCATGAGCCACTGTGCCGGGCCAAGCATTAATTTCCAGTTGCTTCTGTTTTATTAGTACTTACTTACAGCAATTTATTTGGGTAGCAAAGTTGAAAACCTCCAGCCCATCCCTCAGTCTTGGTCAGGAAAATATTCTAGACAACAGGCTCAAACAGTCTGATTTAATTAGGAAGTTAAATAAGTTGAGGTGGGGTGGAGTGGGATCATCAGAAGGCTGACATGGGACCGCTGGAGTTGGCAATCATAGCAGTGTGAGGTTGGCAAGGGGAGCAACCCCCTTCAAGACAAGGCACAAACTATTTGGCAAGGAGAGATGAGGGGTGGGACCTCACTGTCAATGGACATGCTCAGGGAGGCCAGTGGGTTACATGCAACAGGAGGATCATTCAGGCAACTTCAGCTATGAGGCTGGGCATCTGTGAGGGCTGAAGGCTCAGGCTGTTCTCAAAGGCTTGTGATTCACCTGGCAAAAAGACAACAGTAGATGACACTTGGGAACATTCGGGAGGCTGAGGCCCCTACTCTCCCGGGCCCCAGTTTAGACGAATGGGCTATAGGCAGAACACACACGGCCAGGGTTCTTTCTGGTGCCCTACCACCTGTTTCCCCAAACAAAGACATCAGGACCCACATACAATAAATCACTGAAGAGAGGAGAGGGGGCAGAGCCTTGTTTGCACACTCTCCTTAGCTCTGAATATTCTACTGCAGGCCTCCAGGAGGCTCCAAGGAACCCAGCTTGAAGGTCATTGGTATGATCCAGTGCTTTTATTTACATACGCTTTTTTTTTTTCTTTTTTTTTTTGAGACGGAATCTCACTCTATCACCCAGGCTAGAATGCAGTGGTGCGATCTTGGCTTACTGCAGCCTCCGCCTCCTGAGTTCAAGTGATTCTCCTGCCTCAGCCTCCCGAGTAGCTGGGATTACAGGTATGCGCCACCATACCCAGCTAATTTTTGTATTTTTGGTAGAGATGGGGTATCACCATGTTGGCCAGGGTGATCTCAAACTTCTGACCTCAGCTGATCGTCCACCCTGGCCTCCCAAAGTTCTGGGATTACAAGTGTGAGCCACAGCACCCAGCCCGAATATGCATTTCTTTCTCTTTTTTTTTTTGAGACAGAGTCTTGCTCTGTTGCCTAGGATGGAGTGCAGTGGTGCTATCTCGGCTCACTGCAAGCTCTGCCTCCCAGGTTCACACCATTCTCCTGCCTCAGCCTCCCCAGCAGCTGGGACTACAGGCACACACCGCCACGCCCGGCTGTTTTGTATTTTTAGTAGAGACGGGGTTTCACTGTGTTAGCCAGGATGGTCTCAATCTCCTGACCTCGTGATCTGCCCGCCTCAGCCTCCCAAAGTGCTGGGATTACAGGCATGAGCTACCGCGCCTGGAATTTTTTTTTTTTTTTGAGATAGAGTCTTATTCTGTCACCCAGGCTGGAGTGCAGTGGTGTGATCTCAGCTCACTGCAACCTTCGGCTCCTGGGTTCCAGCAATTCTCCTGCCTCAGCTTCCCGAGTAGCTGAGATTACAGGCATGCACCACCAAGCCTGGCTAATTTTTTTTTGTATTTTTAGTAAAGATGGTGTTTCACCATGTTGGCCAGGCTGGTCTCCAACTCCTAACCTCAGGTGATCTGCCTGCCTCAGCCTCCCAAAGTGCTGGGATTACAGGCGTAAGCCACTGCACCTGGCCCCATTTCTTTAACATACACATAATGCTTACTATATACCAGGCACTATTCTAAACACTGCAAATATTTGCTCGAGCCCCTCAACAATTCAACAGGGTAGTTTCTAATTATTAACCCAATTTTAAGATGAGGAAACAGGTATAGAGAGGTTGATTACTTGTCCAAGATTACAGCTAGCAGGCATTGTAGCTAGGATTCGCAACAAAACAGTGGTTCCAGAGCCTGTTTGCTGACTTCTACCATGATCTACAGGTGAATTAACTGGGGCGCTGAGAAAAGCAGTGATATGCCCTAGAATTAATTAACTGTCAATAGGCTGCAACTAGTTCCCTATACTAGTGGGGTGACCACAAGCACAGGTTGCAGAGACAGTCGACCTGGATTTCACTCCAGCTGCACTAGCAGAATGAGTAGGAACATGCTGGATGTTGAGTTTCTGGACTTTGTAAAATCCTATATACCCTAATGGTAGTTTGATTTAAAACAACTCATTTATGTAGAAGCTTAGCACTGTGTCTGGCACACAGAAAGTGATTAATAAACATCAATGACTCCCAGGCCTGGATGCTGGTTAAATGCTAGGCATACTGTGTCACACAACACAGGAACCTAGCAATTCTCCTCAGCTCCAACCTGAGACCTCACCTGGGAGATGCTCACGCCTGTGAGTCTTTCCACACTCTCTGGCAGGCGAGTTAGAATGTCCAGTACTTCCCCAGTCACTTTGGCTGCCCCCATGGTCCCACTGCCGCTGGACACCAGTGTGATCTTATTGGCTGAAGTCAAGGGACCACTGATCTCCTCTGCCACCTGGCAGGAGAGAGACACCCACTCAGTGCCCATGATCTGACCACATTCCTCATAAAACAACTTACTCTGGGTTTTAAGGTCCTCGTTCCACTGATCATCCTTCCTCACTTTGGTCACTAATAATTCCCACCCCTAATTTAGAGTCCCCCTAGGCTGTTTCTCCCTAAGCCCCTCACTACACCCCACCCCTTAGTCCCTGGTTCTATTTCCTCCTTTCTTGGTGCCCACATGACCTCCAGACCTGGGGCAGCTTCTCTAGCAGCATGTCCAGCTGAGCAGCCTCTTGGTACAGCTGGAAGGCTTCTGCCTTCTTGGCCATCTGCTCAGCCTCGGCTCGGGCTCGGGCCCCTATGGCAAAGGCCTCAGCTTCCCCACGCATCTGAGGGTTAAGGATGCTTGTGAGATTGACGGAAATCATTAAGAACAAGAAATCCCCGATCAAGCAGCAACCCCCACCCTCTCCACAAGCCAGCATGGAACTGCCTCTTAACTCACCCGCACAGACGCGGCTTCTGCCTCCGCCTGCATAATTAGTTGGGACCTGTGGACAGAAGGGAAGTGGAGGGTGGAGCCCAGCAGCCCTTACTCCCAGGAGAAAGGCCCAGTGCTGCAGAGGCAGACGCTCCTGAAACCTGAAATCCATAGGAGTCCAGGTGGTGAAGGCTTCAGCACTCCATCTTGGGGTGCCTAGGTGGCAAGTGAGCTAGGCAGGGTCAGGGAGGGGACATTTACTTCTCTGCCTCGGCTAGGCGCTCCAGCTTGTAGCGCTCCGCTTCCGCTGGCTTCCGCACCCGGGCCTCCAGCTCCTTCTCCCGCCGGGCGATCTCCTGCTCCTGCACTGCCACCTGCTGGGCCCGCTCCACCACCTGCACCTGCACCCGCTGCTCCTCAATCTGCTGCTTAGTCTTGGCCACCTGGGTAGGAGGGTGAAGTCAGGTTCACGCTCTGAGTCAGAGGTGAAGAGCAAGTGCCCGGGAACCAGAGCTCCAGAGTGGGATATAAAAATAGGAGCCGGTGGCCGGGCGCGGTGGCTCACGCCTGTAATCCTAGCGCTTTGGGAGGCCAAGGAGGGTGGATTGCCTGAGTTCAGGAGCTCGAGACCAGCCTGGCCAACATGGTGAAACCCTGTCTCTACTAAAATACAAAAAATTAGCCAGGTGTGGTGGCGAATGCCTGTAGTCCCAGCCACCCGGGAGGCTGAGGCAGGAGAATTGCTTGAACCTGGGAGGCGAAGGTTGCAGTGAGCTGGGATCACGCCACTGCACTCCACCCTGGGCAACAGAGTAAGACTCCATCTCCAAAAAAAAAAAAAAAAAAAAAAGGAGCAGGTGCATGAAGGTGGGTTCCCTCCTGTCTGCTTGGCCAGTCCAGTGGAGTCCAGTGTTTCTCTGATGAGCCCCCGTTTAATCTATTTTTCCCACGTGTGCCCCCTTCTAGAGTATAAATACCTTGAGGGCACTGAGCACATGTTGGCTTTCTGCTATCTCCAGTCTTGCTCAAATCCCCCCACTGTTGCTGCGATAACCTTAGTGCTAGCCTAGGCTACTGCAATAGCTGACTTATTTTTTGTGGGGGTGGGGACAGGTGATCTTTTTTGTCTTTTGCACATGGTGCAGATTTAACAGAAAAAAAAGTGAACCACGAGGCTTCTTCCTCATTCTCCAAACCACCTGGGTCCCTTTCCCAGAGAAACCACCAAGACCAGCTTCTTGTGTATCCTTCCAGGGATACTCTGAACATCTACAAGAATGTGTGTATTCATAGAATTCCTCTTATTTAGGCAGATTTCTTTCTTTTTTTTTGAGGCAGTTTCGCTCTATTGCCCAGGCTGGAGTGCAGTGGCACGATCAGCTCAGTGCAACCTTCACCTCCCAGGTTCAAGCTAATCTCTTGCCTCAGCCTCTCAAGTAGCTGGGACTACAGGCATGTGCTACCATGTCTGGCTAATTTTTGTATTTTTTTTAGTAGAGACGGGGTTTCACCATGTTGGCCAGGCTGGTCTCAAACTCCTGATCTCAAGTGATCCATCCGCCTCAGTTTCCCAAAGTGCTGGGATTACAGGCATGAGCCATCGCACCCAGCCTAGATTTCATCTTCTTATTCCTTGCAGTGTGAGGGAATCAGAAGGCTCTTATCAAGATGCTAGTGAGGAGAGGTGCCAGGCAAGGAACACATTTTTTTTTTCTTTTTGAGACATCATCTTACTCTGTCACCCAGGTTCAATGGCGTAATCATGGCTCACTGCAGCCTTGACCTGCCTGGGCTCAGATGATCCTCCCGCCTCCCCCTCTAGAGTAGCTGGGACTACAGGTGTGAACCAGCACACCCGGCTATTTTTTGTACTTTTTGTAGAGACAGGGTTTTCTATGTTGCCCAGGCTGATCTCAAACTCCTGGGCTCACGTGATCCACCTGCCTCGGCTTCCCAAAGTGTTGGGGTTACAGGCATGTGCCATCACACCCAGCCAGAACACATGCCTTCGTTGTCCCATTGCTCAGGCTCAGCCATGCACCATCATCATTGTAGGTCTCATCGATACATGTGATGCTTCCCCTGCCTCCTACCTTCCCCCGGGCCCATCTGTTCACTCCAGAGAGAAGCATAGCTCTGGAGACGGCACTCTGTACTGTCTTTCACCCTAAATTTTCAAACCCGTTCCAAACTGGCCTCGTTGCCCTCTACACCGGTGTGCAGGATCACCTCTCTCCTGTGTCCCTTAGGCAACCATTTGTCTGTTTCTTTTTCCTTCCTGTCTATGCCCACCTTTTGGTGAAACTCAACCTCCAGAAGCTTCCTCAGAAAGAATATAAAGACAATATTTTTTCTGAGGTCTTGCTTTCTCTGAGATTTTTATTCTACCTTTTTTTGAGATGGAATTTCGCTCTTGGCACCCAGGCTGGAGTGCAGTGACGCAGTCTTGGCTCACTGCAATCTCCATCTCCCAGGTTCAAGCAATTCTCCTGCCTCAGCCTCCCATGTATCTGGGATTATAGGTGCCTGCCACCACGCTCAGCTAATTTTTGTGTTTTTAATAGAGATGGGGTTCCACCACATTGGCCAGGCTGGTCTTGAACTCCTTATCTCAGGTGATCCACCTGCTTCGGCTTCCCAAAGTGCTGGGATTACAGGCGTTAGCCACTGCACCCGGCCTCTACCCTTCTATTTTAATACCAGTTAGGCTGAAAGCAGGCTGCTATGTTGGGATTAACTTTCCATCAGAATTCTGAAGGCATTCCTCCATGGTTTTCTAGCTTTTTAAGAAATCTGGGCTTGGGCCAGTCATGGTGGCTCATGCCTGTCATCCCAGCACTTTGGGAGGCTGAGGTGGGCAGATCACCTGAGGTCAGGAGTTCATGACCAGCCTGGTCAACGTGGTGAAACCCCGTCTCTACTAAAAATACAAAAATTAGCCAGCAATGGTGGCACATACCTGTAGTCCCAGCTACTTGGGAAGCTGAGGTAGGAGAATCGCTTGAACCCAGGAGGCAGAGGTTGCAGTAGCTGAGATCACGCCATTGCACTCCAGCCTGGGTGACAAGAGCAAAAATCCATCTCAAAAAAAAAAAAAAAAAAAAGAAAGCTGGGCTTGATGCAGTGGCTCATGCCTATAATCCCAGCACTTTGGGAGGCTAAGGTGGGAGGATAACTTGAACCCAGGAGTTCAAGACCAGCCTGTGCAATATGGCAAGATCTCACCTCTAGAAAAAAATTTAAAAATTAGCTGGGCGTGGTGGTGTGCCCCTGTGGTCCCAACTACTGGGGAGGCTGAGGTGGGAGAATCACTTGAGCCTGGGAGGTTGAGGTTACAGTGAGCCTTGTTTATGCCACTGTATTGGACAACAGAGCAAGACCCTGTCTCTGAAAAAAAAAAAAAAAAAAAAAAAAAAGGAATCTGAAGTCATTTTGAAGCCTGCCTCTTTGAGATCTCTCTCTCTCTAGAAGCTTTCATATTTTTTGTCCTCAGCATTCTTAAGTTTCACAGTGTTATGTTTCAATGTATATATTTTTCATTCATTGCATTGGGCACTTAGTAGACCATTTCAATCTAAAACCTCATTTTTATATAATTTTTCTCAGAATGTTTCTGCTCCCAATAAGTCATGCCACATTTGCATGTGCTTGACTTTTTTTTTTTTTTTTGGAGATGGAGTCTCGCTCTGTCACCCAGGCTGGAGTGCAGTGGCATGATCTCATCTCACTGCAACCTCTGCCTCCCAGGTTCAAGTGATTCTCCTGCCTCAGCCTCCCGAGTAGCTGGGACTGCAGGCGCGTACCACCACGCCTGGCTAATTTTTTGTATTTTTATAGAGTTGGGGTTTCACCGTGTTAGCCAGGATGGTCTCGATCTCCTGACCTCGTGAGCCACCCACCTTGGCCTCCCAAAGTGCTGGGATTACAGGCATGAGCCAACACCCCTGGCCCTGCTTGACTCTTATTAGTCCCTTTCCCTTACTTCCCTGCTTCTTTCTGTGGGGTTTTATTTTTCCCCTTTGTCAGCTCTTGCCAGGTTACCAAGCATACCCTGTCCCTGGCTTTCTTGGTTGCTCCCAAATCTGTGATGGCTTGCTCTGTTGCCCAGGCTGGAATGAAATGGCACGATCTCAGCTCACTGCAACCTCTGCCTCCCGGATTCAAGTGATTCTCCTGCCTCAGCCTCCTGAGTAGCTGGGATTACAGTCACCATTTCAGCTAATTTTTGTGTTTTTAGTAGAGACGGGGTTTCACCATGTTGGCCAGGCTGGTTTCAAACTCCTTTGTCATCTGCTCAGAGGGAAGAAGGTCTCAACACTGAAAGGAAGCTCTGAGTATGTGGGTGAGGCTTGCTGACTTTGAGCTTCACCCTACGGTGATCTGGATAGGCCATGTACGGAGAAACATCTGATTCAGGATTTTAAGTTATTTCTTTTTGGATTGGTCATGTTCCCCAGAGCAGTCTTCTGATCTCTTTTTTGGAAGATGGAAGTTCTGGGAGCTGAGTGGGGTTGAGGGGGTTGGGGTTGGGGTTGGCTCTCAGTATTTAGCATTCATGAAAGTTATAGTCATTTCATGCCCCTGTTACTGGTAAACTATCTAGGTCCTCACCTGTGCTGGGCCAGCCCCCATCACATCCTCTAGTCTACTCTCTTCAGATAATAGACTTCCAATGGCAGGTATGGTAACTCACACCTGTAATCCCAGCACATTGTGAGGCTGAGGTGGATGGATCACTTGAGGCTAGCAGTTCGAGACCAGCCTGGCCGACATGGTGAAACCCCTCTCTACTAAAAAAAAAAAAAAAAATACAAAAATTACCTGGGCGTGGTGGTGGGCACTTGTAATCCCAGTTGAGGATTACTTGGGAGGGTGAGGCACGAGAATCATTTGAACCCAGGAGGCAGAGGT
Source organism: Homo sapiens (assembly GCF_000001405.40). NCBI lineage: Eukaryota > Metazoa > Chordata > Mammalia > Primates > Hominidae > Homo > Homo sapiens. The sequence continues at coordinate 2,036,355 of NT_167249.2, forward strand.
TGCAGTGAGCCGAGACTGCGCCACTGCACCTGCACTCCAGCCTGGACAACAGAGTGAGAGACCCTGTCTCAAAAAAAACATAAATAAAATAGATAAATAAGATAATAAACCTCCAGATGTCTGTTGGAGCAGGGCAGGAACCATTACCCAGAGGCAGTGAGGGGCTCTGAGAAGGTGCTTTTCACATGTTCCTCTTATTTAACCAGTCTACCACAGCTGGAGAAGCACTGGGTGCTGCCAGCTCCTGAGCCTCAGATCATTTCATTGTTTTCCCTTTTGCAGGTTTCAAGCTCAGCTGTGTCATACCTGCTTAGTCAATTACTACTGACTTCCAGTTTCCAAAATGATGCTCTGGTTTCCGTTCCTATTTTCTCCATCTTTTTTTTTTTTAAAGCCTAGTCAGCTGGGCATGGTGGCTCACGCCTGTAATCCTAGCATTTTGGGAGGCTGAGGCGGGAAGGATCCTTTGAGCCCAGGAGTTTGAGACCAGCCTGGGCAACATGGTGAAATTCCGTCTCTACAAAACATACAAAAATTAGCCAGGCGTGGTGGCATATGTTTGTAGACCAAGCTACTCAGGAAGCTGAGGTGGGAGTATTGCTTGAGCCCAGGCAGTTGAAGCTGTAGTGAGCTGAGATTGTACCGCTGCACTCTAGCCTGGGGGACCGAGTAAGACCCGGTCTCAAAGAGGAGAGGAGAGAAGAAAGAAGAGAAGAGAAGGAAAGAAAGGAAGAAAGAAAGACTAATCAAGTGCAATAGTGAGAAGTAGGTAAAGAGTAGAACAAGGAGTTCAATCTGTAACTGACTGAACAATCAATTGAGATAACTCACTACCTTTGGACAAGCCTCTATCTTTACCTTAAAAAAAATCATTTTAGATCGCGCCACTGCACTCCAGCCTGGGCGACAGAGCGAGACTCCATCTCAAAAAAAAAAAAAATCATTTTGGCTTTAGTGAGGTTTTAGGAGAGAGTAAAATTAGCTACATTTGTTTAATCCATCATCTCTGAAAAAGAGCCCAACTCATCTTTTGCTTTTTTTTTTGAGACAGAGTCTCACTCTGTCATCCAGGCTGGAGTGCAGTGGCGCGATCTCGGCTCACTGCAAGCTCCGCCTCCCGGGTTTATGCCATTCTTCTGCCTCAGCCTCCCGAGTAGCTGGGACTACAGGTGCCTGCCACCACGCCCAGCTAATTTTTTGTATTTTTAGTAGAGACGGGGTTTCACCATGTTAGCCAGGATGGTCTCGATCTCCTGACCTCGTGATCTGCCCACCTCGGCCTCCCAAAGTGTTGGGATTACAGGTGTGAACCACCGCACCCGGCCTTGCTTCCTCTCTTTGCCCGTTCTCCACAAGGCAACCAGACTGATCCCTATACAAATATAAATAAGACCATGGCACCTTTCTGCTTGAAGTTCTCCAATAGCTTTCCACTGTGCTTTCAGTTCTCTTCTGTGTCTCCATCGTGACCACACAAACCCTTTGTGATCTGGCCCTGCCTGCCTTTCCTCCTCACTCACAGCACACCAGCGCCCCCAGATCAGAAACCTCCTTTCTGACTCCACCTCACAGCCTTTGCACTTACTGGTCCCCTGCCTAGCCACAAGCCACGTATGACTGACTGACTGACTGACTGTCTGTCGTCCGTCCGTCCGTCCGTCCGTCCGTCCGTCCGTCCGTCCATCCGTCCATCCGTCCATCCATCCATCCATATATCTATCTTAGAAGGAGTCTCGCTCTGTCGCCCAGGCTGGAGTGCGGTGGCGCAATCTCGGCTCACTGTGCCTTCTGGATTCAAGCGATTCTCACGCCTCAGCCTCCCAAGTAGCTGGAACTGCAGGCTCAAACCACCACACCCGGCTAATATTTTTTGTATTTTTGGTAGAGACAGGGTTTCACTGTTGGCCAGACTGGTCTCAAACTCCCGGCCTCAAGTGATCTTCCTGTCTCAGCCTCTCAAAGTGTTGGGATTACAGGCATGAACCACCGCGCCCAGCCACTTTTTAAGTATGACTACTTAAAAAGCACAGGCTAGAATATTCTTGGCTCAGAACTGTACATTGTTCCTTCTTATCTCCAAGTCTGATCTCAAACACCACTTCCTCATAGAAACTTTCTCTACCACCCGCTAACCTAATATACTAACTCCCCTCCCACAGTTTTTCACATCACCCTGTTTATTTCCTTCACAGCACCTAAACAAGAATTATAGCCTGGGAAGGTCATTTACTTGCTTACTAGCTGTTTCCTGTGTCATAATGTAAGCTGCATAAGGGCAGGAATCTTTTCTGCCTCACCTCCATATTTATAGCCTCACCTCCAAAATGGTGTCTAGCACATAGAAGGCACTTAACAGATATTTGTTGAATAAATCCTTCTTTCCTGAACACCTAGCACACTGCCTGGTGCATAACGAGAAACTGATAAAAGTTGAAAAGAGTCCAACCAGTCCAATCCCTTAATCTGCAGACAAGTAAGGTCATGTTTAGAAGGTTAAGAACCTTATCCATAGCTTCACTGCAAGCTAGCAGTTTCCATCATGGTAACCCTTTTCAAACTCAAACTCCAATGTGCATACAAATCACCTAGGAATTCACCTTGAGATTTTGTTAAAATGCAGGTTCTGATTCAGCTGGTCAGGGCCAGGGCCTGCAATTTTGTATTTCTAACAAGCTTCGCAGTGATGCTGCAGCTGCTGCTGGGTAGAACACAGTTTGAGTTGCAAAGCTGTATGCCATGTTCAACCTGTCAAGTCACCCAGGAATTTAACATAATAACAAAAGATGTTTTTACCTTCATTATGCTTTCAGCCTGTACCAACTCTTGGCAAAAACAAAATGCATAATATTGCTATCCTTTGGGTAAAGGTCTCAAAGTACAGTTGATTTTCATTGTTCTTGGTAGTTCTGTTCTATAAAGTAGCCATGAATGCTGAATTAGTTAATACCTAATTTGTTCCTAGAAGAAATACAGGCTAGGTTCCCGTGAGCCTCTGGTCAAAACATTTTCATCAACTGATCAACATAGAGCCTTGCTTTATATGTGTTTCTGTTTAAAGACACCTTATGTAAAATATATTGTTGATTCATTAACACTGAACTCACAGCTAACAGCAGTATAACTTATGCATGAACGAAGCTTACCTAACACATGTATTTCTCCCATAAGGCACATCATAGCCCGCTTGCACTAAAGGACACTAGACAGCACTACAGCACTGATGCTTGGGGGCCATTTTAAAGAGTGAATTCACCAATAAAAAGCACAAAAATGCAAAAAACACGGCAGTAAATATACTGTGAAAATAACACGGCTTACGGTATGAGAGCTGAAACAAGGCAGCAGAGCATCTCCTTGATCAACCTCACCTGGGTACTGTGCGTGTCTGCAAAAGATCCTGAAAGTGCTGCGACTTTATTGGTAACCTTTTGAGGTTACCAATACATTTTAGTGAATAGGCAAATTCTCAGATACGAATAATGAAGAATGAAGATCAACTATACTTCCTGGCAATATCAAGGGCTGCCCATATCTCACTTTGCAGGATTCAATGTCCAAGTCCATGTTTTCCTTCTTCATACCCTTTTTTAATTAACCAGGGCTGCCGCTAGCCCATAGCATGCCTCTGTGCAAATCAGAAATTCCTCTGTGTAGATGCAGACCCATGTCAGAATGCACTGCTTGATTAGAGGGGCATGGGCCGGATCTGAGCTCGGATCCACTTTCTCAGTCAGATGCCTTTGCACGGGCACAGCCTGCTCCAAACATATGATCAGCCTTATTGATCATATCCCTTCTTGGCCTTCTCTTTTTTTTTTTTCTTTTTTTGAGATGGAGTCTCACTCTGTCACCCAGGCTGGAGTGCAATGGCGTGGTCTCAGCTCACTGCAACCTCTGTCTCCCGGGTTCAAGCAATTCTCCGGCCTCAGCCTCCCAAGTAGCTGGGACTACAGGTGCGTGCCACCATACCTGGCTAATTTTTGTATTTTTAGTAGAAACAGGGTTTCACTATGTTGGCCAGGCTAGTCTCGAACTCTTGACCTTGTGATCCACCTGCCTTGGCCTACCAAAGTGCTGGGATTACAGGCATGAGCCACCGCGCGTGGCCTTTTTTTTCTCTTTTTTGGACAGGATTTCACTGTCACCCAGGCTGGAGTGCAGTAGTGTGATCTCGACTCACTGCAACCTGCGCATCCTGGCTCAAGCAATCCTCCTGCCTCATACCCCAAGTAGCTGTGACTACAGGCCCGAGCTGCCATGCCTGGCTAATGTTTGTATTTTTCGCATAGACACGGTTTCACCATGTTGCCCAGGCTGGCCTTGAACTCCTGAGGTCAAGCAATCAGCCCGCCTTGGCCTCCCAAAGTGCTGGGATTACAGGCATGAGTCACCACACCCGGCTGGCCTTTTCTTTAAAGCTTTTCAGCTGTAACGTCTGAGTCTTTTAAATCTCTCCTCATATGGGGGAGTTGGTCCAGAGATGGAGAGCCAGAATAAGACCAAAGTTAAAGTATGAGAAATAGTGTAGTGGTGTCCTGAGATGGACAGCCTGAGAGGAATGGGGAAGGGGCAGAGAGTGGCCTGGCAGTGGCTCTGACCTGAAGCTGATAGGCCAGGTCAGCCTGTGCTCGGCGGGTGTTGACCTCGATGTCATAGGCGGCCTTCTTCAGTTCGTAATCTCTCTGTGCCTTGGCCATCTCGATCTCACTCAGGTACTGAGCAGACACCTTTTCCTGCTTGGCTTTAGCTTCCTGTCCAAGCAGAGATCAGGTAGGAAATGTCAGGGCAGGGGGAGAAAGGCCACGGTGACAGCCTGCTTCCCACCAAGGTTCTCTTTCTGCCTCATGTATTTTCCCTGCTCACCCAGCACCCCTGCTTCTTCTCAGTTGTGCCACTTCTATCCCCTTTCCCACTAAGCAACCCCCATCTCTCTCACCCGGATCCCAGCATCTCTCTTGGCCTCTGCTTCTCCAATCCGTGCATCTTTTTGGACTTGAGCTGTTCGAGCCTTCCCCAAAGAGTGCAAATAGTCCTGTGGGAGAGATGTAGAAATTAGTCCTTTGGAGGGCTTAAGAGATGGGAGCAAGGAAGTGGGGAAGGATCAATTGCCTAGTTTTACCTGGTCATCGTGAATGTCCTTCAGAGTGTAGCTAACCACACTGATGCCCATGTTGACCAGGTCTGAGGAGGCCACTTTGAAAACCTGTTCTGAGAATTTCTGCCTGTCCTTATAGATCTCCTGTGATAACAGGATGGTGGGGAGAAGGGATGTAAGTTTTTTTTTTTTTTTTTTTTTTTGCTCACTGCAACCTCTGCCTCCTGGGTTCAAGTGATTCTCCTGCCTCAGCCTCCCAAGTAGCTGGGATTACCGACACCCATCACCATACCCAGCTAATTTTTGTATTTGTAGTAGAGAAGGGGTTTCACCAGGTTGGCTAGGCTGGTCTCGAACTCCTGACCTCAAGTGATCTGCCCACCTTGGCATCCCAAAGTGCTGGGATTACAGGCATGAACCACCCTGCCCGGCCGGGATGTATGCTCTTGGATCCACTGTCTCTCACAGACTAGTGTGGGCCTTGGGCCCCCCTCATTTTGACATCCTTCCAGATGGTTCCCTGCCCCTAGGCCAACCTCCACAGTCATGTGGGCCATGATGGCCCTCTGGTGGCCCTCTAACGTCTCCAGGGCAATGTGGGCAATCTCAGCCTCCGTCTTCCCCAGGAACATCTGACAGGCGGCCGCCAACATCTCCTTGTTCTGCCCCTGGATTTTTACCTGTAGCCAGAGTAGGGGTAGGAAAGGTGTGGTGGGGGTCTCATGAAGTCAGAGAAAAAGCAGAGAGAGAAGGGAGAGCCCTCTAAGAAATGCTTCTTCCATTTCAGGGAAAGAAAGGAGGAGGAGGCAAGTGCCTTGGGGTGCCTGGAAAAGATGAGACTAGCAGAGGAACTTCTCTGCAGGCAAGGGTTGAGAAGACTGTGGCCAGAAGATGTCTTAATGTCTGGGAGAGAGGGTGATGGGGAAGTGGACTGTGGGGAAAAGGCTCTGAAAGCTTCACCTGGGCAATGCCAGTGACTGAGATGGGGACCCCATGGCGAGTGTAAACCTTTTCACTCTTGACATTGAGGGTCAGTGTGTTGAGAGAGATCCTAGGGGAAAAAGAAGGGACAGACAGTAAGAAGAGGAGGAAAAAGAGAAAACGGAGGTCCCCCTTCCCTGGTTCCCTTCTTGCCTACCTCTGGATCTGTTGGATGCAGGGCAGGACAAAGACACGCCCTCCAGCCACCATGACTGGGGGGCTTCGGCAGAACCCTGCAAGGTGTGGGGCAGTGAGGAACGGTGGCAGAGCTTGAATGTGGAAGACTGAGGAACTGGCGGGGGTGAGGGGACAGCAACCCACAGGAGAGAATCTGGGAGCTGGAGGGGAAGCAGTCTGGGCCTTGGAATGGTGGGAATCAAACTGGGCAGTTCGTGGCCATCAAGGGGCAGAAGTCTGGTGCTGGGAAGTTGGTAGGGAGAGGGAGAAGGGGCAGAGGCCAGACTCACAGGGGTTCTGGGGTCACTGGCTGGGAAGGGAACAACAGTACTTACCGGAGACCACCATGGCCTCATTTGGGCCACAAGTGAAAAACATGGTTCAGGCTGGAGCTGGAGGAGAGGGAGGGAAAGCCTTTGCGGATGGGGAAGGCGCGCTGTGGCGTCCACAGGGGCCCATCCTTTCCCTTTCCCGTCAGGCCCTCCCAGTCTGCATCCGCCACGGCCCGTCCCTTCTACACCCATGGGTCCGCTAAGGCTTTTCCCTACAAAATCCTTAAGATCCCCAGCTACCTCTTCTCCGCCTGCGTATGGTCCCTCCCTTCCCCTCGCCGCTCCCTTTGATAAAGGTCCCCCGCGCCCAGAGGCCTGCAGACCTTTCCCCTCTCTCCCTGCTTCTCGGCAGCCCCAGGCTCCATCTCCCCTCCCCCACTCACCTTCCGGGACGCGGGCGGCAGCCCGGCTGGGGTCTCGGGAAGGGCGGGGTCGCGCAGGGACCTGGGAGCCGGGCAGGGGCCGCTCGCAGACCAGCTTTCCTGGGAGCTGGCCCCGCTCCCGCGTTCCCCACCCTGCCGCACCCCGTTGCTGCGGCAGACGCGACCCCGCCCCCCGCAACGGACTAAGCACCCCCACTTCGCCCCGCCTCGGCCCAGTGCGCTCGGCCCGCCCCTTTCCCGGCAGGCCCCGCTAGAGTCCGCAGCCCGCCCGCCCGCTGGCTCTCGGGCCCAGCCGGGCTGCCTGGTTAGCCCGGGGAGGGCCACATCCCTGCCGCCCCAGTCACCGCCCTTCTTGAGCCGGGAATCCCGCCCACGCCGCGCCACGCTCCGCCCCCGGGTGAGGGACTTGACCTCCGCCTGGCACCCTGGCGTAAGGGTGATTGCCACATCTCGGATTCGCCGCGGGGCAACTACCTGGGAAAACCGCAGACTGGGCAATGAAAGACTACATCCGGCAACCGGATGCTGGGTTCTGTGACTCCAGGAAAAGGGGCTCCTGGGCCCAGGGAGGTGCGCGGGCTGGGGACTCGGCCACGGCGCCTCCCGCCGGTCCTTGCCATCTGAAGGCCGGGAGGAGTGGGGAGTCGGCGCTTGCAAAGATACACTCAAGACTGCAGACAGTAAATCAATTTTATTTGTGTTCACAGAACATACTAGGCGATCTCGACAGTCGCTCCGTGACAGCCCACCAACCCCCAACCCTCTACCTCGCAGCCACCCTAAAGGCGACTTCAAGAAGATGGAAGGATCTCACGGATCTCATTCCTAATGGTCCGCCGAAGTCTCACACAGTAGACAGACGGAGTTGAGATGCTGGAGGATGCAGTCACCTCCTAAACTTACGACCCACCACCAGACTTCATCCCAGCCGGGACGTCCTCCCCCACCCGAGTCCTCCCCATTTCTTCTCCTACTTTGCCGCAGTTCCAGGTGTCCTGCTTCCACCAGTCCCACAAAGCTCAATAAATACCAAGAGACCTGCATTTACAGCAGGGGGAACATCTCACACCCTTGCATAAGTTAAAATAAATATTACGTACACATCTCCATCACCTAGGAGGACGTACATAAATACATATAAATATTAATTAGGAGCAATAAGAAATAAATTAACGACGCTCTCCTTCCCACCGGGCCTAGCCCCAGCTGGGCTGTGCCTCGGTCTCTATGCGCCTCGGTCTCTGTGCGCCTCGGTCCCGCCTCAAGCACCGGGTGGCGTCTCCGCTGTAGTGTTCTGAGTTCAAGTTGCCTCGGAAGTCCCAGTTGGGGATACGCTCTCGCGCACCAGGTACGCCTGGTGTTTCTTTGTGGTTTTTCGGATTCTTTTTGGGGAGTGCGGGGAGTCACAGTTAGAAGGCGGCCGGGTGTTGCTGGAGGAAAGTGCTGAGGTCCAGAGCGTAGTCCGAGGGCTCCGAAGTCAGATTAAAGGGCTCGAGGACGGGGGACACAGGGGTGGGCGCCAGGGATGCGGCGTTAGGGGCGTCCTCTGGAGGCAGGGGCGCCGGCACACCCTCTTCAGCCATCAGGATCTGGCAGAAGACGATGGTGAGCAGCAGAAAGAGAAGCCTTTTGGCTGGGTTCGGTTCCTCGACTGGCAGCTGGCGCCGGACCTAAGGGGAGACAAAACAGGAGACAGGTCAGGTCGAGGCCTCTGGAGTCGGGTCGTTCCCCAGTGACTCCAGGGCAGCGCACCCCGCGAATGCCCACTTCGGCGATACTCACCACTCGAGGGTAGAGAACCCTGCGGCTGCGCTTTCGGTGCCCGCGAGAGGCGCTGGGGCGCCCGGCAGGGGCCGCTGCGGGCTCCGGGAGAGGGTCGAAGGTGAAGATCTCAGGACCGGAGCCCCGCCGGGGTCCCGGGATGGTGGAGGGGGCCGGGGTCGGGGCCTGCAGGATGGTCATGGTCGGGTGGCAGCTGCGAGAGTGACACATGGTGAGCCGAGCGGAGTGTAAGGCCAAGTGAGGGTCGGCTGCCGGCAGAGGTAATTTATGTGCTCCTGAAAATTGGGCGGGTCCTTCTAACTCCTCCTCCCGCAGCTGGGGAGCGGTTGGCAGCAGCGGGCTGGAAATTCCGACGATTAAACAAAGGGAGTGGGTGGAGACTTGACATGCACAATCCTAGGCGCCCAACTGCACGTTGTGAGTGTGTGAGTCGTGAGTGGGGGTGGGTGAGATCCCGGGCTGCAGGCACATGTCGAGGCATGTGGCACCTGGAGAGGGGCTCACTTTAGCCACAGGATCCCTCACAGGCCTTTTTTTTTTTTTTTTTTTGGAGATGGAGCAGTCTCGTTCGGTCGCCAGGCTGGAATGCAGAGGCGCGATCTCGGCTCACTGCAACCCCTGACTCCCTGGTTCAAGCGATTTTCCTGCCTCAGCTTCCTGAGTAGCTGGGAATACAGGCACGCGCCACCACGCCCAGCTAATTTTTGTATTTTTAGTAGAGACGGGGTTTCACCCTGTTGGCCAGGGTGGTCTCGATTTCCTGACCTCGTGATCTGCCTCGCTCCCTCCGTCCTTCTTCTAGTAGTCTCAAGTTGCTATTGTTGCCATCTTTACGTCCACGAGTTCCCAATGTTTGGTTCCCACTTATAAGTGAGAATGTATGGTATTTGGTTTGCCCGCCTCGGCCTCCCAAAGTGCTGGGATTACAGGCGTGAGCCACCGTGCCCTGCCAAGAGGGCTTTTTATTGGAGATCAGGCCATCCTGCTGCAATACTGACCCAGTTATATGCACGCATTCATGCACTTGTAGGTATCCTTAGAATATAAACTCCCCAAGAAGGAAATTGTTACAGAAATAGTCAAGATTAAGGGAGAAATGAACACACTAGCACACACAGACACAAACCTGCCTGCCTGAGCACACATGAAGACACACACCGCGTAGCCATACAAAAGAACAAAATTATGTGCTTTGCAGCAACATGGATGCGGCTGGTGGCCATTATCCTAAGCGGATTAACTCAGGAACAGAAAACCAAATACCACACATTCTCACTTATAAGTGGGAACCAAACATTGGGAACTCATGGACATAAAGATGGCAACAATAGCAACTTGAGACCAGTAGAAGAAGGACGGAGGGAGTAAGGCAAAGGTTGAAACACTAACTATTGGGTACTATGCTCAGTACCTGGGTGACAGGATCATTCATACCCCAAACCTCAGCATCATGCAGTATACCTAGGTAACAAACCTGCACATATACCCCAGAATTTAAAATAAAAGTTGGGGAGGGAGGGAAGGATAGAAAGATTAAAAAAGTAATACACAATGGTGGGGCATGGTGGCTCTTGCCTGTAATCCTAGCATTTTGGGGGGCTAAGGTGGGAGGATCACTTGAGCTCAGGAGCCTGGGCAACATAGTGAGACCTTGTCACTATAAAATAACAACAACAACAACAACAATACACAATTAAATATTATTCAGCCATAAAAAGAATGCAATCCTGGAAAAAAAGGAAAACATACCACGTACACCTACCAACACACATGTACACAGTAAAGGTGCAAAGACTGTATAGGGACAGTTCAGCAAAACTACTCTCTTAGGAGCGTGCAGAAATATTCACATAAAGGCTGGTGCAGAGGGCCACAAATACAAAGGCAATAGGTTAGCAGCCACCCAGATTTGCCCCTTGCTGTAAGTCAAACAACCAAATTTATGGGACAAACATTCTAAATTGTGAGACATTATACAAATGTTACAGTAATGGTAATTACTCAACTTAAAGCAGATTCACATTTCCATAACTTCCTTACAGACAGCTGCTCATGGACACAGAATTTAACTTTTTTTTTTTGTTTTGAGACAGGATCTGGCTTTGTCGCCCAGGTTGAAGTGCAGTGGCATGATCTCGGCTGACTGCAACCTCTGCCTCTTGGCTCAAGCCATACTCCTACCTCAGCCTCCTGAGTAGCTGGGACCACAGGTGAGCACCACCATGCCTGGCTAATATATATATATATATATATATATAAAATTTTTTGTAGAGCCAGGGTTTTGCCATGTTGCCCAGGCTGGTCTTGAACTCCTGAGCTCAACCAATCTGCCTGCCTCGGCCTCCCAAAGTGCTGGCAGCCACCGTGCAGAATTTAACATCTTTTGAGCATTCACCTGTTTCAGGCGCCCTCTGTTGAGGGTACTACTGTTGAGAGTCCTGAGGCTAGTTTCAGTATAAGTGCTGTGCCATGCAGCTGCCTGAGGAAAGCCAGATAAAGCTGATACTCCAGCCATGAGGGCCTTACCCTCCGGCATGAGGAGGGAACCATGGCCAGGAGAGCTCTCTATCTGTCTGTCTCTGTTGCTCTCTCTCTCTCTCTTTTTTTGTTATATTGAGTTTCTGCCTGAAGGAAAGGCAAGCTTTCTTGAAGATCCTAAGAAAGGCCAGGCACGGTGGTTCACACCTGTAATCCCAACACTTTGGCAGGCCGAGGCGGGTGGATCATTTGAGGTCAGGAGTTCGAGACCAGCCTGGTCAACATGGTGAAACCCTGTTTCTACTAAAAATACAAAAATTAGCCAAGCATGGTGGCGCATGTCTGTAATCCCAGCTACTCGGGAGGCTGAGGCAGGAGAATCGCTTGAACTCAGGAGGCAGAGGTTGCAGCAAGCTGAGAGCGTGCCACTGCACTCCAGCCTGGGTGACAGAGTGAGACCCTGTCTCAAAAAAACAAGAACAAAACAAAAAACAAAAACAAAAACAAAAAAACCTAAGAAAACTGAAGACTAAGTGTTAAGGGGGGGACCCAAAAGAGCTAGTGTTCACATCTGTCCAATCAATCAGGGGAGGCTTCATGGAAGAGTGGCACTGAAGGTGACCTTGAACAGTGGGTGGGATATGACAAATTCAGATGTGGAGGATGACTGTAAGAATGGAATTAGCAAAGACCTTGAGCTGGAAAAGTACAGGATGTGTTTGGGGAATCACAAGAAAAACAATCTCAGAGTAAGTTTCCTGTAACGGAGTAGTGGGAAGTAATAATGGCTGGAAAGGAGTGGAATTGGGCAGAGTGGGGAGAGCAGAGCTGCCAGGTCAGGAGCCTGGGTTTCACTCTAGACTGTAGAGCTTGTGGGTTGCTGGATGAGATAAAGGGAGGAAAATTCAAGCAGGAAACTGATTGGGATGAGGAGTGATGCTCTGGACGGGTAGAGACTAAGGCAGTAGACAGGAGGCTATTGGAGGGGCTCAGGTAGATGATAACAAGAGCCTGAGAAGGTGGCCCTAAGAGACATTCCTAGCATAAGATAATCAGAATTGGGCAATGAGATGGATATCATTAGGGGAAGGGAGCATGGGAGAGGGAGAGTTGCCGACAGCAAGAGGATGAAAAGATCTGAGATGACTCCAGAGATTTGAAATACATCTGGCTCAGATCTTTCTACCATCATTTTAAGCCTGGTGCACAAAGTGAATACATATATGATCTCTTCCACTGGAGGCTGTGTCATACACATCTTTGTGTCCTCCAGAGAACCCAGCATGGTACCTTGTAGGCAGCAGTTGCTCAATAATCTTGTTAAATGCCAGGTGAAATGTACAACTGTAAGTGTGCATGTAGTATTCCCACCTTGGCTGGGTCACACCAAGCTTCTGAGATGTGGCTACACTCCTCCAAACCACTCATACAAATGTACAACATCTTTAGAAAAGCTGGGACAATTCTTACACAGACACCAAACAGGAAACACTTTTCTCCCCTCCCACTTAGGAAACACTTAAAAGGATTTTTCAATCAAGAACATGTAGGAACACAAATAAGAGGACAGGCCACAACCGGCTAGAAATACACTACTGCTCTGTGTACAATTCCTGGGCCTACAAGTCACTTTATTTTATACTCACTACTCTTATCTAAATACACAAGATCCCTTCCACATTACACACTTCTTCCTGGCTGGCATAAAACACACCTCCTCTGTAAACAAAGGCGCATTGCTTTCCCACGCCTGTCTTCACACCTGCCATCATTCTTACATTTACACCCAAGCACAGGGAGCCCACCACCCCCAACATCCTTATTCCAAGGCAACTCGCACGCTACACAATGACCAACATAAACCCATGACTACTTACACATGTGGACAGACCCTCACACTCACATAAACATAAATTGGGAGTAGGGGGAGATAGTGATGATGGAAGAAAACTAGTGGGTGGGAGAGAGAGAGAAGCACCAAAGGTTAGGAATGCATTACTTGTTTATGATGGAAAATTTCTCTAGGGCATTAGGCAGAGGAGGGGAAATGAAGGGGATGCCAGGATCTTGTTTTGCCACTACCTCCCACATCTGGAATCTGGGCCTCCAGCTGGGTCTAGTTATCCTCGCTGTCCTCCCGGCACAGAGAGACCTTTCTTTGTGGCAAGACCAGAATGGGACAAAGAGAAGACCTGAGAACCCGGACTGCTCACCATTCCCAACCAATCCCATCCCCATTCCTGCTACCCTCAGAGCCCTAGGGCTCTGCTCCTGCTCCTTCCTGCCACACAGGAAGCTAGGGAAATGTTGGGGGTGAATCATTAAGCCAATAAGGGGGTGGGGGAGTGCAGGCTGGGGAATGAGTTAAGGCCAGAAAGTGCCAGGGGCTGAGACGAGCAACTGGACTGGCTCCCACTGCCCTGATACTGGAGAAACAGGCCCTTAGCCTCCTCCATTTCCAGCTCTCCTCCTCATTTCCTTCCCATCTTCCCCCAGATCACCATGTTCCTTCATTTCCCTCGTTTGACCTTTGCCTTGATCCATCACCACTGCTAGCCTCCTTCTCAGCCCCTTGTTTTTCTTCATGACACATATCACGTTGGGGAATCATTTTATGTATTTGCTTTTTGCTGTTGTTTGTCCCGCCTACTGGAATATAATCTCCACGAGTGTACAGGGCCACATCTGACCTTTTTCTCATTAGATCTCTGTAGTATCTCCAGTACTTGGCTGTCACCTAGTAGGAACTTAATAAATATTCTTAAATCTGTCTCCTCCGAGGAGCTAAACCTCATCTGCAGAGAGGTCTGTTTATCTAGCCATGTTCCTTTAGAGGCCCCCATGTTTGCTCTTCAAAGAGGAGGTTGGGGGCACTCAGGTGTGGCTCAGGTGATCCGCCGCTGAATCAGGAACAATTGTGCAGTGACGACAGCGACAGCAAAGCCCTGGCCCGCGCCCTTTACAATCCCTGACATAGGAGTGAGTCAGGCCTGCTGCCTCACCTGGGTACTGCTGCACTGCTGACCACAGGCCCAGAACGGGGGACGGCAAGAATGGGCACTGGCGGAGGCAGAATGGGCAGGGGAAAGGGAGGCAGAGATTTGGAAATGGGAGCATCTGAGAAAGGAAAGCAGGGTGAAGGGACTGCACCAGGGTCCTGGGGGTAGGGAATGACAAAGAGAAAGCTTTTTAGCTGCACCTGGTATTCAGTAGATCCTCAATAACTACTTGGTGACTTGAGATGGGTTTGAGATAGAAAGGAAACACGGAATAGCAAAAAGAACATATTGTAATCTAGTGGTGTTAGACGAAATTGGGTTTAAGTGCCAGCTCTGCTACTTATTAACTAGGCAATATTGGGCCAGTTACTTAATGTTGCTGAAAATCTGTTTCCTCAATTGATAAATGGGCAAATTGACCTCTAGGTAACTGCAAAGGTTAAGCATATAAATTTACTCCTTCTGGGCACATAGTAGGTGCTTCTTGCATGGAGCAGGGGCATTATTATAATTATGAGAAGAGGGACTGCTTTGGAACAGGGATGGGCAGCAGTGAGCCAACCCAGGAGTAGGGAACTGGAATGAGAAAGTAACCTCTAACTGCTAACATCACCAGGAGATACAAGTTCTTTCTCTTTTTACTCTGCCCTCCCTCCCTCTCCATATCAGGCAGGTTTTGTGGCTCTTTATTTTCCAGAGAAGCAAAGACTTCTGCATTCCTAGTTCCTGTTCAACTAATGTGAGTGATTTTATTTTTTTATGTATGTATTTATTTATTTTTTGAGACAAGATCTCACTCTCTCACCCAGGCTGGAGTGCAGTGGCATAAACATGGCTCACTGCAACCTCAACCTCCTGGGCTCAAGTGATCCTCCCACCTCAGCCTCTTGAGTAGCTGGGACTCCAGGAACGTGCCACCATGCCCAGCTAATTTTTATTTATTTTGGTAGAGACAGGGTCTTGCCATGTTGCCCAGGCAGGTCTCAAAATTCTGGGCTCAAGCGATCCTCCCGCCTCAACCTCCCAAAGTGTTGGGATTACAGGCGTGAGCCACAAAGTCTGGCCTTTATTTATTTAAAAAATTTAGTTTGGCTGGGCGTGGTGGCTCACGCCCATAATCCCAGCACTTTGGGAGGTTGAGGTGGGTGGATCACGAGGTCAGGAGTTCGAGACCAGCCTGGCCAACATGGCAAAACCCCGTCTCTACCAAAAATACAAAAATTAGCTGGGCGTGGTGGCGTGTGCCTGTAATCCCAGCTACTCGGGAGGCTGAAGCAGGAGAATTGCCTGAACCAGGGAGGCAGAGGTTGCAGTGAGCTGAGATTGCACCACTGCACTCCAGCCTGGGCGACGAGAGTGAAACTCCGTCTTAAAAAAAAAGAAAGTCTTACTCTGTCGTCCAGGCTGGAGTGCAGTGGCACAATCTCGGCTCACTGCAACCTCTGCCTCCCGGGTTCAGGCGATTCTCCTGCTTCAGCCTCCCGAGTAGCGCATGCCACCATGCCCGGCTAATTTTTGTATTTTTGGTAGAGATAAGGTTTCACCATGTTGGCCAGGCTGGTCTGGAAAACTCCTGACCTCACGTGATCCGCCCCCTCGGCCTCCCAAAGTGCTGGGATTACGGGCGTGAGCCACCACACCCAGCAAAAAAAAAAATTTGTTTTTACTCACCACTATACTGACAAGGAACAGGTGATTTTAAACATCCCCTCCCACCTACATTTTAGCTGGAACAATTCTCCAGAGGCATGGGGGTAGAGTGGGGTGGTGAGTTCTAGGCAGCAAGTTAACAAATGACCCCTAAAGATATTCATCTAGGCTCTAGGAGGCCCAAAATCAGGCCCTGGCAGTTCCCCTGACGCAAAACCATGGCAAGAGTTCCGGGAGCACCAAGGCAAGGTCACAAAAGTGGCACGATGACCCTACCCTGGGATGCAGCTCAGCCTGACCCAGCCCAACTCAACCCAGCTACCCTGGAGGCTGCTATGAGCTGAGCCGGGAGCTGGGAAAGGGCCCAGCATTCCTGTCCTTCTGCCAAAGCCGGCTTCTTAGGACCCCAGTGTTGTGGCTCCTCCTTTGGTCTTGGTTTCTTTCCCACCAGATTATAACTCCACCAGAGTAGGACTTTATCTATCTTGTGTACTGCTCTATTTTCAGTGCCTAGAACTGTGCCTGTCAATCAATACAGGCTGCTGAAAAGGCTAGAAATACAGGATCGTTGATGTCATTACTGTTACAGTGCTGTTCCCGTGGGAAGCAGCCTGCATCTCTCTGTAGACAGCTCCAATGTCAGCCATTGGAGAATTTGATGGAGATTGAAGTCAAAACATAATCATAGGGGAAAAATGCACAACAAATAAAATATTTCCCCTTTTGTCCAGACTTTTCAGACACCCCGTATTTACTGGATGAGTTGATCTACAAAGTGAAAGGCATAAATTAAAGGCTCTCTAATGTTTCTCCTCCTCTGAAACCCCATGATTCAGCAGCGTCTCCCATGTGTGCTCAAAAGTTGGACGTGCCTCCAGCCTACCCTCCAAAGCAGTTGCCATAGGCTCTTTTCTTCCAAGGTTGGGAGGGACAGTTCATTCCCCAAGAGGCCTCTCCAGGGGCGGAGGCGGGTGCTGGGGCTGGCCTGTCTGCAGCTCCCTGGCCCTACCCAGTGGGGATCGCGTGTCAGTACTGGGGTTTGGTGGGCTGCCAAGGGGTGAGCCCTGAGGTGGTTTTCTGGGAAGGATAGATGCCATGTGTGACTCAGAACCAAGTTAGGGAAAAAACAAGCTCACTCAATCTCTAGCACCCTCTGCCTGGCCTGGCTTTGCCCATGAGCTCATAAAAGAGGAAGCTGGGCCGGCC
>NT_167249.2:2088117-2102176 GCF_000001405.40 Homo sapiens
TGGCCAGGATGGTCTCGATCTCTTGACCTCATGATCCGCCTGCCTCGGCCTCCCAAAGCGTTGGGATTACAGGCATGAGCCACTGCACCTGGCCTTCTCATCTAATTCTAATTAAGAGTTTTTGTATAATACTTCAAAGTTTCTGAAAATTTCCTGAGTTACCAAAAGCTCTTTGTCACAAGAAACCATATTTCTCAGGCTGGGGGTGGTGCTCACGCCTGTAATCCTAACACTTTGGGAGGCTGAGGTGGGTGGAATACCTGAGGTCAGGAGTTCGAGACCAGCCTGGCCACATGGTGAAACCCTGTCTCTACTAAAGTACAAAAATTAGCCGGGCGTGGTGGCAGGCACCTGTAATCCCAGCTACTGGGGAGGCTGAGGCAGGGAATCGCTTGAACCCGGGGGCAGAGGTTGCAGTGAGCCGAGATCATGCCACTTCACTCCAGCCTGGGCAAAAGAGTGAGAATCCGTCTCAAAAAAAAAAAATAAATAAAATAAAAATAAAAATAAAAAATAAAAAGAAACCGTATTTCTCCAAAGTTTCATTTGCTGTCTCTGCTGTATGATCCCAATCATTTCATTGTTTGTGAGCAGCAAAACTAAAATCTAGGGAGCCTCATGTCCCTTCTGCTTCTGACTCCTCCCCTACTCGAGCCACAGAGTCAAAGATTCCACTTCCTTCTAGGGTAGTTTTATAGTTGGAAAGTTCTTCTAAATCTCTGACCACAACCTCCTGCTGCAAAATTGTGCAATAAATCCCCATGAGTGTTCAGTGTAACCATTGACTATAGGACCTGGTTTGATGTGGGAGGCATTTGGGGCTTGCGGAAAGCTTTATGTGCTCTGCCCCGTACAAAGGGCAGCCTTGGGGCAGCCGATGCCCTTGCTCTGGCCCTGACATGCTGCTCCCTTTTTGAAGTGTGATTTCTGATTCTGGGTGCAGCTTGCCATATCAGAGGAGAATGAAGCTAGGTGGCATGAACCCCAGAAAATTTTGATGAACTCACCTCTTGGAATGAGGACAAAGGAGAGTCTTGAAGTAGAAAAGAGCTGTGCTCCTTGAAGGGGTCCAAAGTTAAAGCTCACACTGGGGTGGATTGGGTAGACTTACCTGTCCCCTCTTTGACAGTGTTGCATTTGAGCTTCTCCTATTGGGTCCTTTGGAAAAGAATTCTTTGAACTACTAGAAAATTAGGACAGGGTGGGGGCAAAAGAAAATGTATATTGAGAGCTTGCTCCATGTATTTGTTAGGCATTTAATCTAGGTATCTAATTTTATCTTCAAAGTAATCCTGTGGGTTGGTTTTATCAATCCTATTTTGCAGAGTTGGATGCTGAAACTTGCAGTCACACAAGGACTTGAACCTAGAGCTTTTCTAAAGCCCGTACTCTTTCCAGTACCCTGAGCCAGGGGAGCCAGCGGGCAGAAATGACGTGTGAGGTACCCTCTTTCCCTTCACTTCCATGTGATCTGTTACTCATTTTGTCAAGACATCCTGGGTCCCAGGTAAGCTCCAGTGATTCCCCTGAACCAGTGGTGTGCTGGAGCCAGCTCAGACCTGCTAGTGAGAGTGTTAAATATTCAGGAAATTTGCAAGCTGTTTGTTAAACTGTCAGTGGTTGGAAATTGGTCATGGGAGGAAGTATCTACACCACGGAATAACTACACACGGATAACTACTACAAATCAGGGATCCCCATCTCCCCCACAAGCTGGTTTGCTAACACATCACTGTCTTTTTTTTTTTTTTTTTTTTTTTTGAGACAGAGTCTCACTCTGTCGCTCAGGCTGGAATGCTGTGGCGTGATCTTGGCTCAGTGCAGCCTCTGCCTCCCAGGTTTAAGCAATTCTCCTGCCCAAGTAGCTGGGATTACAGGCACGTGCCACCATGCCTGGCAATTTCTGTATTTTTAGTAGAGACAGGGTTTCGCAATGTTGGCCAGGCTAGTCTTGAACTCCTGGCCTCAAGTGATCCACCAGACTCGGCCTCCCAAAGTGCTGGGATTACAGGTGTGAGTCACCGCGCCCGGCCCAGAGCACTAACATTGGGGTCCAGAGTGAGAGCTGAAGAGAACAGGGCCTGCCCCCAGCAGTCACAGAGTTTCAGCTGCAGACTGAGGGAAGACCGATAGTATCTATGGGAAAGTGTGTGCACAAAAGAGACAGAAAAGAGGCTGGAGAATATTGATTATTCACACATGAACAAAGTAAGTACCAATGTTATTAATCCCAGGGATTTTGCTGGGAGGAGTTCTGGCTTGTTATTAGGGTCCTTTTCTTTCAGATCAAGAAAAGGGAGATCTAATTCATGAAGAAACTAGAAAAGTGCCCTGGATTGGTGGGAGTGTGGTGGGGGTGGTGCTGCACAACACAGAAGAGGGGAACTTTGACTTTGAGCCTGAGGTCTTGGGATGAAAAGCAGTTTGTGGACTGGATTCCTGACCCTGGGGTTACAGTAGGAATCCCTTTGCCTGACAGGTGGTGACCTTCCTCTGGCAAGGTCCCCAGACTCCTAAGGCAGAAGCAATCCTCCCATCTCAGTCTGCCAAGTAGCTGGGACTACAGGTGCTCACCAACACACCTGGCTAATTTTTGTGTTTTTTTGGTAGAGATGGGGTTATGCCATCTGGCCCAGGCTGGGATCTGTGAAGAGCAGAACAACTCTAAGCCCCAGGGCAAAAATCTGCAGAGCTGAGTCTCATGCCACTTTGGGGCACTCCATCTGAGGCCTGGAATCAGAGGCCTTCCGCAGCTTGTGTAGATGCTGCCAAAAGGCTGAGCTCGGTGGCCCATGCCTGTAATCCCAGCACTGTGGGAGGCTGAGGCAGGCAGATTACTTGAACCTAGGAGTTTGAGACCAGCCTGGGCCACATGGTGTACCCCCATCTCTACAAAAAATATAAAAATTAGCCAGGTGTGTTGGTGAGCACCTGTAGTACCAGCTACTTGGGAGGCTGAGGTGGGAGGATTGCCCCAGGGGTTTGAGGCTGCTGTGAGCCATGATCATGCCACTGTACTCCAGCTTGGGCAACAGAATGAGACCCCATCTCAAAAACAACCAAAAAGATGCTGCAAAGAAACAGCAGCCTCCTGTAACAAAATAAGTGGTACATCTTTTGTGATGGGAGCATCTCCCTGGGGAGCGAAGCTGGACGTTGCAGCCCTACCCTGTCCCCAGAGGTTTTTCTGTCCCTTTATGTCTATGAACAAGTATAGCTGAGGCCATCAGCACTGCACACACCTGGAACAGTCTTGTTAAAACAGGACCTCCCTAAAGGCCAAGAGCTAAGGAAAGAGAAAGTGAAGGACTGAGCAGCAGGTAACCAGAATCGGAGTCATTGAAGGCAACTGCAGGAGTTGCCCCTTCCTGGCTCCCTCCCATGGCAACTCCCTGAGTCTGAGTAGAGAAGGTTAGAGACGTATGGAGGTTCCCACCCCTCCTGTGAAAGGCTCCCTTCTGAGTTCCAGGTCCCTATCTGATGACCCACCTCACCTATGCCTGCCTAATACCTGAATGGCCATCTCTTTCAGAGACCACTCTTATTCCCAGGTGTGTGACCTCCTCCTACAGAGTACAGTGGGAAAGACACCATCTCCAGGTAACCCCAACACAGTGAGGGGTGGAGCGGGGATGTGGTCATTCGTTCCAGGTATTGTTGATTCTCTTGAGGTTCAATCCAGGGCTAGAGATTGTGATTAAAGAGATACCCAGATTGGGTATGCGTGCAAAGGGCAAGAGCTATGAGACCAATGTGACATTTAGGATTAATTAGTCCCTTCCACAGGGCAGGCTGCCACTCACTGGTACAGCTCCTGGGCTGAGCCTGGCAGAGCTCATTAGCAAGGCAGACACTGGAATGTGTGTGCAATGGAGGGAGGCTTAAACTCAGAGGCTGCTGGTTCCTATTAAGCAGAGAGAGGTTAGAACTTAGTGGCACAGAAACTGATATCAGCTAAATATGGGTTAGTCACCAACCCTGCACCATCTTCCCTAACCTTTGAGAAAGTCTTTTCCTACTGCTTGTTCACATCCATTCATTCAACAAACAATTATGAATTTTCTCTTAGGTGCCAGGTGCTACACAAGATACTGGCTATAGCAGCGAACAGGACAGCCCGTCTCATCCTCATGGAGGTCACAGGACAATGAGAAGAAAGACTTTTTTATTTTTATTTTTTTGAGACGGAGTTTTGCTCTTGTTGCCGAGGCTGGAGTGCAGTGGTGTGATCTCGACTCACTGCAACCTCCGCCTCCCAAGTTCAAGCAATTATCCTGCCTCAGGCCTCTTGAGTAGCTGGGATTACAGGCACCTGCCACCACTCCTGGCTAATTTTTTGTATTTTTAGTAGAGACAGGGGTTTCATCATGTTGGCCAGGCTGGTCTCGAACTCCTGACCTCAGGTGATCCACCCACCTCGGCCTCCCAAAGTGCAGGGATTACAGGCATGAGCCATCGAACCCGGCCCAAGAAGAAAGACATTGAACAAGTAATTACAGGGTATTGGGTGTTATGAAAGAAAAGCATGGTACTGTATAATGAGGTCATCTAATTTAGTCTGGGGTGACAAGGAATGCCTACTAAAGAAGGTATCGTTTAAGACATACCTGGGGAATAGCGGTAGTGAAAATAGAAGCTCCAGAAATGCAGGGACCATGGCTGACATGTTTACCATGCCAGTGTCTGGCATGGAAGAGGCCCAATTCCTTTGGTTGAAAGGATGAAGTAATCTAGCTGAATAAAGGGTGTGTGCGTGCACGCAGGTGTGTTTGTAGTTAACCTTCCTTTAGCTCAGCTTAGGAAACAGCTTTTGTAAAACTGCGTAACTAGTAGTAGGTGAGAGAGGAATACGAATGATATACACACCATTAAAGACAACTTACTAACAGCATGAGTCCGACATAGATTCCTTCCTACTTGGGTTTGAACCCTGAGCCCACCACTTACTAGCTGTGAGAAAGTGAATGAGTTGCCTCCCTTTCCTGTGCCTCTGTTTCTTGTAAATTCTATTTCCAAGCATCATGAGGATAAAAGACAATGTATATACATTGTTTGGCATATTACAGTCAATGCTTGGTAACTACTATTGTTATTTTTTAAAAAATTATTATTATTATTTTTTGAGACGGACTCTCGCTCTGTCGCCCAGGCTGGAGTGCAGTGGCGCTATCTTGGCTCACTGCAAGCTCTGCCTCTTGGGTTCACACCATTCTCCTGCCTCGGCCTCCTGAGCAGCTGGGACTACAGGCGCCCGCAACCACGCCCGGCTAATTTTTTGTATTTTTAGTAGAGACGGGGTTTCACTGTGTTAGCCAGGATGTTCTCGATCTCCTAACCTCGTGATCCGCCTGCCTCGGCCTCCCAAAGTGCTGGGATTACAGGCGCGAGCCACCGTGCCCGGCCCCACTATTGTTATTTATGTACACCAAATTTATATCCAAAGGGACTTTGATAGTTACAAGAAAAGACATATAAGTCCAGATATCATTGAACAAGAGTAAAATAATAAATCAAGTAGGAATGGAGGGGAGGATATGCATGCAGCACTAGATAATATCTATATATAGAGAGGATGAGGTCTTGGAAGATGAGTCTGAAGACTTTCCTGTTGGAGAGGGGCTCTATGCTCGGCATGCTGACTGCTTTTACAACCCCACCCCCACATCTCATCTTAACCACAAGACAGTCTTGTTCTGGGGAGTTCAGAGCCTTTATTTTTTATTTATTTATTTATTTTTTGAGATGGAGTCTCACTCTGTCACCCTGGCTGAAGTGCAATGGCATGATCTCAGCTCACTACAACCTTTGCCTCCCGGGTTCAAGCGATTCTCCTGCCTCAGCCTCCTGAGTAACTGGGATTACAGGCACGTGCCACCAAGCCCAGCTAATTTTTGTATTTTTAGTAGAGATGGGGTTTCACCATGTTGGCCAGGCTGGTCTCGAACTCCTGACCTCGTGAGCTGTCCACCTCGGCCTCCCAAAGTGCTGGGATTACGGGCGTGAGCCACTGCGCCCGGCCCCAGAGTCTTTATTTGTTATTTAGAGAGGGTCTCACTCTGTCACCCAGGCTGTAGTGTAGTGGTGCGATCTTGGCTCACTGCAGCCTTAACCTCCCAGGCTCAAGCAATCCTCTCACTTCAGCCTCCTGAGTAATTGGGGCCACAGGCTCACACCACCATGCCTGGCTAATTTTTTAAAAAAATTTTTATAGAGACAAGGTCTTGCCATGTTGCCCAGGCTGGTCTTGAACTCTTGGGCTCAAGTGATCCTCCTGCCTCAGCCTCCCAAAGTGCTGGGATTACAGACATCAGCCACCGTGCCCAGCCCAGAATCTTTCAACCCCCAAAATCCATTGGTGTGGGGTTAGATGAGGGATCCTAAAAGGAGAGGGAGGCTGCTGTGCAGTGATCCCACCGGCCTGCTTGCAGGAAGGAGAGCCGACCCTTTCTTGACCTCTACCAAAGACACTAGAGAGCTTTGTAAATCTTCCAATTAGATGATACATAAATACTTCCCCAGGTCTTCTAGGCCTGATTCAATAATATTTACTTCGAGAGGCTGCTGCTTCCTGTTTGTATTCTCTTACCACAAGTTATCTGCTGTTCCTACTTTCACTTAAGCTTTGTATCGTACTCTGTGAGAAATGTTTGAGCTGGCTGGACACATTTCCTGAAATCATTTCTCTAGTCTTTTACGAAATGTCTGCATTTATGCTGGAATCATAGAGCTGAACTATCATTGAGATAAAAATTCCAGTCTTTACCCCAATTTACAATTCCTAAAAACTGTCACTTTCTTAGATCTCTTCACATTTTCATTACTTCTTTTTTTTTTGTTTTTTGTTTTTTGTTTTTTGAGACTGAGTTTTGCTCTTGTTGCCCAGGCTGGAGTGTAACGGTGCGATCTCGGCTCACTGCAACCTCCGCCTCCCAGATTCAAGTGATTCTTCCTGCCTCAGCCTCCTGAGTAGCTGGGATTACAGGCGCCCGCCACCATGCCCGGCTAATTTTTGTATTTTTAGTAGAGACAGGGTTTCACCATATTTGGCAGGCTGGTCTCAAACTCCTGACCTTGGCCTCCCAAAGTACTGGGATTACAGGCGTAAGCCACCACACCTGGCCAGACATTTTCATTGCTTCTATTACCTGTGTAAGCAAGTGGCTTTATTGGGAGGCGATTTTCACAAAGAAACAAGGTTTTTTAAAAAAGGTGTTTCCCGTAGGTTTCTGCCTGTGAGACCACCTGCTGAGAAATGCAGAGCCGCTTTGGGAAGCTGGGTAGTCAGCTCTCATCCATACTCACTCAACCATGCCCAGCTGGGCAGTGCCACTTGTGTCTGAGCCTCAGCAAAACTGCATGTCCCTAAATGTCAGGGGTCTTCACAGACAAGTGAAGCAACCAGAAATACTGAATTTTCAGATGGACATGTTTATCGTACTGAATCTCCATAGCCAGGAGGCACAGACAACTAATAAAGCCCTGTGCCCCATTATTGCTTCATTGATTCACTGAAATAATGCTGGGTATGATTGTGGCTACAGAGTTAAGCCCCATTGTTAATTATATGGTTTGGTGAGGGAAAGAGTTTTTTTTGTTTTTGTTTTGGCTAGACTAATGTAAACACAGTTCAAATGTTGCTCCTTCACTGGGGACAGAAAAATCCATATGTGGCTCACGCCTGTAATCCTAGCACTTTGGAAGGCCAAGGCAGGCAGATTGCTTGAGTCCAGGAGTTTGAGACTGGCCTGGGCAAGATGACAAAACCCTGTCTCTACTAAAAATAAAAAACAAAAAATTAATTTAATTTAAAAAACTGAGGTGAGAGGATCACCTGAGCTTGGGGATGTCAAGGCTGCCATGAGCCATGTTTGTGCCACTGCACTCCACCATGGATGACAGAGTAAGACCCCATCTTAAAAAAAAAATCCACGTAATATAGTTCACATCTTTGCTTCCCATGTAAATTCCTCTTTTTTGTGTGTCACTATCAGTATGTAATTATTGAAACTTCAAGGTATGACTCTTGTTAGGAAATGATAGAGAAAAAACAATTGCTCTATAATCACCCCTTACATTGTGACTTCTTGCAAATAAATACACCCCACTTTCAGCCTCACTCATTTATTATAAAATTGTAAGAGGTGGAACAAGCCTTTGTTTAGAGATGTGATTCATGTGTTGCTTGCTGGAGTTTCTGAAAACAAACAAACAAACAAAAAAACCCAAGATAGCAGATGGCCAGATGAGCCACTGGGAATGGAGCAATGGCTGGTCATGGCTTCTGTCAAACACAAAGCTCTGACTGGAGAAGCTTGGAATCTTCTGGATGTCTTTTGCAAAGATGACAAATTCTTTTAGATAGGCTGCTGCTTGAAGGTAAGATGGAAGAAGCTTTGTTCATTGTATTATGGAGGTCTTTGACCCCCACCTCCTCCCACCCCATGAACTCAGACCTTCCACATTAGACCTGGGCTGTCCCTCAGCATCTTTGCTGCACATTGCATGAAACTTTTCAGTTATTACATATAACTTCCAGGTGTTTGAAATACGAAATGCGTAAGAGACATGTTCCTGAGATGTCGGAGTGAGGTTTCCTTTGAGAGAAGGAAGTGAGGGTTGTTGCCTACAGATTGTTGAGGGTAATAATGGGATGAGGCATAAAAAGGACCTAGCCTAGCAGCAGGCATGTAGTAAGAGCTCAGTAAGTATTACATTTGTTTAATTAGTGTCTGCCTACCAGGTTCAACCCTTGGCTTCATATGTCCAGCAACACTTCCTAACTTGCCCATTCTTGCCCTTCCTTGGGTCCTGCTGTTTATTCTGTTCTCTGAAATAAGGAGTTCCTCCCAGTATTGTAGCTGATAAGGTTAGAGCTCAAAGCAGTTAGGGACCTCAAGAGGTATCCTAGTCTGGTTCCTGGTCTAGATAAAATATTATCCCTTATTGCAGAAGTAGCAACTGAATCTAGGAAAGGTTGAGTGATTTGAGAGACTATAGTAGGCATAGGTGGGGATATTGGCTAATTCTTAGTTCTTCTGACTTAGGAGCATCTAGGTCGTGGACACAGAGTGTCCCTTTTTTCAAAGTGGAGTCCCACAGTGCATCACTTACAGTTATTCTAGCTGCTGGTGGTATTTGGAGGAGTATCCTAAACACTTCTCTTTCCAAATCACAGGCCCAGTTGGGATCAGGAACATCAACTCATATCACATGAGCAGAACTTGTTCATTTGGGGACATCCCCAATAATGCCAAAATCTATGCTCCAGATGAGTAAGAGTATGAACTGGAACCACTTTCAGGGAACCTCTTGTCTGCACCTCATTCTGTTTTTATTTATTTATTTATTTATTTATTATTTTTGAGATAGAGTCTCACTCTGTTGCCCAGGCTGGAGTGCAATGGTGCTATCTCAGCTCACTGCAACTTCTGCCTTCCTGGTTCTAGTGATTTTCCTGCCTCAGCCTCCCAAGTAGCTGGGACTACAGGCACGTGCCACCACGCCTGGCTAGTTTTTGTATTTTTAGTAGAGACGGAGTTTTACCATGTTGACCAGGCTGGTCTTGAACTCCTGACCTCAAGTGATCTACCCACCTTGGCCTCCCAAAGTGCTGGGATTATAGGCGTGAAATACCACGCCCCGCCTGCACATCATTCTGGGTGGCTGAATCCTCCACTCTCCTGGTTCTCTCCTCTATGCTGGTAGGAGGGGAGGCTGGGAGAGAATGGGAGAGGTGGTCATGATCAGTAAAGAGACAATTGGAGGGAGATGGTCCAACCCTGTGGTTCTGGACTCTGAAGTGGTCTTTACTGAAAACAGCAGATTCCTAGGCTCAGAACAGTGGCAAAATAGCTTGGAATTTAGGGGTCTCTGATTTTTTTCAGATTCTCCCAAGCTGGAGTGCAGTGGTGTGATCTCAGCTCACTGAAACCTCTGCCTCCCGGGCTCAAGTGATCCTCCCACCTCAGCCTCCTGAGTAGCTGGGACTACAGGTGCATGCCACCACACCTAGCTAATTTTTGTAGTTTTGGTAGAGATCTTCCTGTCTTGCCCAAGCTGGTCTTGACCTCCTGGGATCAAGCAATCTGCCTGCCTCAGCCTCCCAAAATGCTGGGATTGCAGGTGTGAGCCACCGTACCCTGCCTCATATATTTTGTTTCGTAATAAGTTTACTTTAAATCAAGATCGAAGGCCAGGCATGGTGGCTCACACCTATAATCCCAAAAGTGTGATTTCAGAATACAAAATTTGGGATTATAATTTGTAATCCCAAAAGTGGGATTTGGGCATGGGCCACCACACCCGGCTGATTTTTTTTTTTTTTTTTTTTGATAGAGACAGGTTTTATACCACATTGCCCAGGCTGGTTTCGAACTCCTTGATTGAAGCGATCTACCTGCCTTGGTCTGACAAAGTGCTGAGATTACAGATGTGCCTTGCCTGACCTGATTATTGTTTTTTATATCTCCTTTAATGTACAGGTTAGCTCTCTCATTTTTTCCCCCTCTTGAAATAGGTTTGTTGGAGAAAATGGATTTTTTTTGTACTGTACAGCTTTCCAGTCTGGGTTTTGCTGATTCTACCCTGGAGGTGCTATGTAAGACACTCCTCTGATCGCTGACTTCTTGTGAATTGCTAATTTCATCTAGAGGTCTGATCAGATTGAAGTTCAGTGTTTGTTTTTGCAGGGCCCCTTCTCAGGGAATGTTGTGAACATTCACCCAGAGGTACATGCTGTCTGCTTGTGTCCGTCTCTTTTGGTGATGTTCTAAGTCATTCGTGATCATCGACTAATCCATTATTTCATTAGGAGTTGCAAAATAGTAATATTGGAATTCTATTATTTCTTTCTTCATTTATGTATTTATTCTTTTTTCTCCCCCACACCCACTCTCCTGCCCTGCTCGCTCCTTTCTTCAGTTATTAGGTAGACTGCTTGTGTAAGAGAAATTGCTTCATCAACCATGGGGTTCAGTTATGGTTTCTATAGGAAAGGCAGAATAAAGGATTTCTCTTTATTACCAGTTTTCAAGTTGTTGAGTTGGTTACGTAGAGTCCTCCACAAGCGACCAATTATTTAAGATACCATTATGAAATCATGGATTGAAACATATTTGATGTACTTCAGTTCACTATAGTCCATTATAGTGATTAGTCTTATGAATGCTCAAATTGTCCCGTCTTTGGCAAGTGGGAGTCTTTTCACCTCTTTCTGACACAGTCCAAAGAGACTTTGATAGCTTTTTGAGTTTCTGATTTGACCAGATATCGAAGCACATCTTGTACATTTCCGTTCCCAGTCTGAGAGCCAAGCATTTCTTTAAGAAGATCTGATTTCAGTTGAAGGGAAATGATAGACTGCCAGAGATGCTTGTTGCTGCTGGATTGGTTCTTGTTTCTAGGGCCTTTTAGTGGGAAGAAAATATAAACATATTTTAAAAATAAACTCATTGTCTGTTTATACTAATACTTTCTTTATTTTTTTAAATTTTTTTTTACCAGCTCTAGGATCAAGGAAAAAGATACTTTCCATTCAAATAGAGGCTCTCAGTGTTTTTATATAACTTCACATACTTGCATCTGTTTTTTTCTCCCGACCAAATATTCTAGTTTCCAAATCGACCAACGTTTGCTTTATCCCTCAATACTTATACACAGTCTTAAAATAACAACATCAATATTATCGCCATTAATATGATAATGCTTTTCCATGAAAGGGCCATACATGCAAAGTGGCCCCCAAAGGTCAAAGGAGCTGAGAAACCAAAGAACAAGGTAGGCAAGTCCAGTTTGTTGCTAAGGCGTGTTTCACTGGGGAACTTACAGACGGAAGCCTGCTCTTGGGCAGCTGCAAGACAGGTGGATCTCGCACTGTTATCTCAGACCCAAGGCTTATTTATATACCATAGGGAAAGAGTATATGTGCTTAGTGCAAGACAAAGGCAACTGTCCAGAACAGGCTAGAATGCTATGTGCGTCACAGCTTATAATTTGTGTGATAACATCAAAGTTGATATATTCTTACACTAGGGACAGTAAATAAAGTAGGAATCAGGAGGCGTTCCTGGGACTGGGGCTAATCAGATGACGACATGGTGGATTAGCATCCAAGATGGGGCCACTTTTGTCTCCACAATAAAACTATTCTTTCAGTTCCTTTTTTTTTGTCCTTAGGGTATATCTCACTAGGAATATACAATCAAATTGCAGTGGTCTAAAGTTGTTTGAGACAGTTTTTCTCTCTGTAATTGTATCACTAACTCACTGTGCGGATAGTCTTTTATTTTTGCTTTTGATTTTTAGAAATTTAAATATATACATGTATATATTCTTAGATATAGAGTAGCATCCAGATTTCCCCACTTCTCTTTTTTTTAAATGAACATTGGGATACAATTGACATACAGTTTGACCTTTCTTTACTTAACAATAGGTGCTGTCAATCAGCCCATGGCAGTATGTAGAGATATTTATTCTTTTTTCAATGCTCCATAGTACTTCATATTTAATTTAGTCAGTCCCTTGTTGTTAGACATTTGGGTTATTTCCAGTATTTATTTATTTATTTATTTTTAAAATTTGAAATAGAGATGGAGTTTCACCATGTTGCTCAGGCTGGCCTTGAACTCCTGGGCTTAAGCAAACAGCCCGCCTTGGCCTCTCAAAAAGTGCTAGGATTACAGCCACCATGCTCGGCCTATTTCTAGTCTTTTGTTATGACAAATAGAGCTGCAATAAATAGCCTACACAAATACTTTTTCATATTTTTGCCAGTGATGTTTTGGAATAGTTTCCTAGAAACGGTATTGCTGGAAATGCATATGTAATTTTGCTAGATACAGCCAGTCAAATTCCCTTCCATAGAGATTGCCTCATTTTGCATTCCTAGTCACAATGTACTAGAATGCCTATTTCCCTATAGCTTTGCCAACTACATGTATTGACAAATTTTTGGATTTTTTGCCGATCTGATAGGTATAATATGCTACCTTAGGATAGTTGTTTTGTTTCGTTTGTTTTGTTTTTTGTTTTTGTTTTTGTTTTGTTTTTTGTTTTTTTGCGATTCTCCTGCCTCAGCCTCCTGAGTAGCTGGGACTACAAGTGAGCGCCACCATGCTTGACTAATTTTTGCATTTTTAGTAGAGACGGGGTTTCACCATATTGGCCAGGCTGGTCTTGAACTCCCGACCTCATGATCCACCTGCCTTGGCCTCCCAAAGTGCTGGGATTACAGGCATGAGCCACCATGCCCAGCCAAAATTTATCATTCTTTCTCTTCAACTGCAGCTGAAGATTTAGCCATAGTTATGCAAGTCTTTTCCACTCCCAAGCTGTAGAAGAATTTATTTCCCTTTAATATTGTGTGGTTTTTGTTTTTTAAAGTCTCATATGGAATTTATCTTTTTGTATGTATGCTATGATAAGTGGACCAACTTTTGTCTTTTTTCATATAGAGTCTCAAATTTGATATTACTAGCTCCTCTCTCCCACCCCCTCCCTTCAGCTTGATTTTTCCTGGACATTTTATTATTTTCTTGGCCAAAGCTGGACATGGATCAAAATAAACGTCTGTTCAACTCCCTGTGTTTGGTTCCATTTTGCTGCCTGTTTTTCTTTCCTGGATTCTTTGTGATTTCAGCACAGTGTTTTTCCAGCCATTCAAGGAGTTATGACCTTTAGGGCTTGAGGAAGAGTGCATTAAAGGCCTGTCCAGAGAATGATTCAAGGGGGAGTGGATCCTGTAGACGTCCAGGAGGGCCCAGCTCTACTTGGGCCAGGGGGTTGGAGAGCTGCTTCTCAGGAGCAGGATGGCCACTCACGCGTGTGGAGCACTCAGGAGCCCAGTTTTTTGTGTTTTTGTTTTTTCCTTGAGACGGAGTCTTACTGTGTCGCCTGGGCTGGAGTGCAGTGGTGTGATCTCGGCTCACTGCAACCTCTGTCTCTTGGGTTCAAGTGATTCTCCTGCCTCAGCCTCCTGAGTAGCTGGGATTACGGGCGCCCGCCACCACACCCAGCTAATTTTTATTTTTAGTAGAGACGGGGTTTCACCATGTTGGCC